>NW_021160018.1:0-300000 GCF_000001405.40 Homo sapiens | reverse complement strand
AGACAGCGTGGATTGTCGCTGGAGAAACCCCCTTACGGGAGTTTTACATTATTATTAATAAGAAAAGGGGAAGAGGAGTTGCTTATAAGCATGTTCTGAGTGATATTTTGGGTGCACATACGCAGTGACTATACATGCTTGTTCATATGTTGCATGTCTCGTTAGCATCTTAGATCTCCACCCAGGAGTGTATTTCTGTTTGTTTGTTTGTTTGTTTGTTTGTTTGTTTGTTTGAGACAGAGTCTCGCCGTGTTGCCCAGGCTGGAGTGCAGTGGTGTGATCTCTGCTCACTGCAACCTCCGCCTCCTGAGTTCAAGCCATGCTCATGCCTCTGCCTCCAGAGTATCTGGGATTACAGGCATGCACCACCATACCCTGCTAATTTTTGTATTTTTAGTTGAGACGGGATTTCACTATGTTGGCCAGTCTAGTCTCAAGCTTCTGGTTTGAAGTGATCCATCTTCCTCAGCCTCCCAAAGTGCTGGGAGTACAGGTATGAGCCACCTTGCCTGGCTAGGGCCTATATTTTTTGCTATTAAAATAAGTGAAAGTTAAGTTTGAGGACAGGTGAAATCAAAATGCACATGCTTTCTAGAACAGAAAGTCCTTAATGAGGATAACTTTGCTTGAATAAGCCCAATTACAATGCGAATGCTACGGCTTATTGTGTTGGCTGTACAGTCACCATGGTTTCTCTATCCTGAGATCATGGTCATTTTCTGTACTATCTATTCTGCCTCAATTTCCCCCTAAGAGATTTTAGGGCAATAATCATATTGGAGGTTGAGGGGTTAGGCCATTATTTCTGGAGCTGTTTCCTGCTGAGTGGGTGTTACTTCTGCCTAGCCTGGGCCTTAAAGTTTCTTCCTGTGTGATCTAACAGGGTGTAAACCATGTCGTTCGTGGAACCAGTGGGAAGATGTTGGCAACCAAAGGTTGAAAGCCTTGCAAAACCATCATGCAAACATGGAGTTGCCGTAAGCAAGAGAGCAAGAAATCAGTTAACATTTTAAACAAAATTGGAACAAAACTAAAAGCTGAAAATATAATAATGACGGGTACTATTAAAGAGAGCAAGGCAGGCAATGGACATCGCTTTCATGTTCCCATGGAAGTTCCTAGAGATTCAATTTTGTCTGCCTGGGTGATGATATTATTAATATTTTCTTCGACTAAACCAGACTGATTGATCTCAAAAACAGCATTCTTCTTTTAGATATAAACATGTTCCTCTTTGCTTGGCTGGGAGAAGATCCCAGGCTCTTTGGTTTTGTCGGACTACAGTGGCCATGGAGTCCAGACGTTGTTGAAGTCTATTGAGACCCTCTGCTGCTCGTTGGGGACACACTGAGATTTTCCGAGATAGTTTCTATTGGATTCCCGAGGCTCCACCTTATGGTGACATTTGTGCTGCAAAGGAATTCTGCATTGAAATGGTGAAAGCAGCAAAAGTTTTAAGTCTTTTCTATTTTTTGCCAATAAGCAAAAGTTTTCTGCAGCTACGTGGTCAGCAGTCATTGGGTCCATTTATGGATGGTGAAGTTGAATGGTGGTCAAAGTTAGAGCCTGGAAGGCTTCAGTAAATGCGCTGAAGTTCTTTGGGAGCCAACAGAGCTGTTGCTTGCATTGGATTAGATCATTTATTGAGAAGAGAACAAGCACTCTGATGGTCCTCTCTCCATTTGGGACTTTCTGTAAGGGGATCAAATTCTCTGGCCCTGCATGGTGTGAAGTTCCACCGCGAGTAACTACAGCTGGGCTGGTCACTATTGTACCTGGCAAAGGCTGATAGAGAGGAGCATAAGGAGGAGGTGAAACAAGCTTAGATTCTGCAGAAGACTCGGATAGTGTGGGGATGCTGCGGATTCTACAGGAGGTGTAGGCCCCTGAGGGTCCCTATCTGGAGCTGGTGAGCCCCTCGAGACCCCATTAACTGAAGCTCTAGGAGGTCATAGGCATTTGCCATACACCGTCTTATCTCTCACCAGCGCTGCACATCTCCAGCCCTGCCGAGATGACCCCCACTGCTGGCTGGGGGACAGATGTCTGGCTGACAAGCCTTTCCCTAATTTACTGGTTCGCAATTTATGATGCCGAATTATAACACCTGCAATGCTCAGATTCAAACCCCACGACCGGGCATCTACATGACTTTGAATCGTTTGTTCAGCAAAGAAAACCTGTTGAAGAACAATTTCAAGGAGGTGGGAAATGCATAAAGCCTGAAGGGACAGGGTTCTCTTAATATTCCACTCAAAACAAAACAAGACAAAACTGTAAACAGAAAACCCGATCAGAAAATAAAGTACAATAGCCACTAGGTGGCGATCGAGTATTGCCGAAGGGACAGCAAACGATAAGCTGAGTCTGAAGTGTGGCCAGAAAGATGTGAAACTAAGCAGCAAACTAGCCCGAATATGAAATGTTGAGAGCAACCCATGCGGTGAGTGTCTTTTATGGATAGTACAGATGCAGCAGCCAAAAGGAGAGCAGACATATATTCTCTCTCTAGAGAATATAGGTGATTTAAACACGTTTCCCCCAGAACTTTAGTGAAACAGCGCTGGAACAACCAGCGATAGTTAACCAGGTAGTCTGGAAGTGCCATAGTATTCACTGCAAGAAAAGGGAAACTGAAATTAATGAAGCAGACAAACCTCTCTCCGGGCCATGGCAAAAGAAATGTTGATGGCTGATGTAATACCTTGGTTCTTATCTTCTTAGCTTAAAAGAATTTAAACAGGAAACATGCAGCAAAAGAAGTACAGCATAGAGTAATTTATTGCACACAAAAAAAGAAAAGAATACGTTGAAAATCAAGTGCAGAATAGACGGTACAGTCTGAGAAAGAGATTCCAGGGCAGCCTGCTCATAAGAGTGAGACAGCATTAATTGTTGCTGGAGAAACCCTCCTTCTGGGAGTTTTACATGATTATTCATAAGAAGGTGGAAAGAAGTGTTATAGAAGGCATGCTTTGAGTGGTCTTCTGGGTGCACATGTGCAGTAGCTGTACATATTTTTGCATATGTTGCATGTCTCATTAGCATGCAATGACATTTCACCCAGGAATGTGTTTTTACTTGTTAAAATGAGCAAAGGTTCAGCTTGAAGACAGATAAAATCAAAATGCACATGCTCTCTAGACGTAAAAGTCCCTACTGAAGATAGTGGGTTTCAAACGACCCCAAGTGCTCCACAACTTAAAAGTCGCTCCCACGAACCTGGAACACTATCTGTTCCTGAGGGATCAGGTCCCATTTGTGTCTCTGAGACACTGGCAAGTGAGGCACGACTTGGGATGAGACCGATGATTTTAATTGTAAAATGCCTAAATAGTCAGCAGCTTCAGGTTACATTTTGGAGCTTGTCCACTTAAATGGGTTGATGAAAATGGCTCACAAAACTCACGCCTTGGAAAGCGGGTTTTCTCCCTTGCTCTTAGATTTTCTGCAACCCATTAAACTAACTTCCTGATGCCTCGACTTTCACATTCGTGAAAAAGGCGCCATTGAGAGTGACGTTTCCAGGAAGGCTCAGCCCTTGTCAGCCCCTGCAGAGCTCTGAAGCTGTTCACAAGCAGGCCATGTGGAAGATTTCTCTCAAAAGCCATTGAGCACGCGCTCTGGCTAGAGAAAAAAGAGGGCTGCTGCACAATGGACAGTGTCTCAGACATCAGGACAGTTTCCACAGTAGTTTAGGAAAGAAGGCAGTGCCCTGAGCTGCAGAAGGTGCAATGCTCTGGAAGGAACCCTGGGTGCAGCTGAAAGAGGAACCTGAGAAGCATAGGGCCAATCGGGTGAGGATAACCCGCCTGATTTGGGCAAAGGTAAGGTGCCTACATAGGGTAATACCCTCCTCAATGCTCAGCCAAGACCTGTCCTCCAGGTCCACCTCTGTACTCACTCTCTGTGGCAAAGAGTCGGCATAGCATAAGAACTCAGCAATGCTTTGGACACTGGGAAGTCCACACCGCTCTGTCCCTCCCTCCAGGGCTATGCACCCCGGATCCCGGTATATGCTGAGATTATGGTTCTGAAGCCCACCGACAAATAGGCTGAGAGCAGTTAACGGACTACAGCTCCAAGCATATTAGGTGGGGCATGTACAACTTTGCCCCTTCTTCCAGGGCTATGCCTTACCCCAGAGACTGGCGCATGCTGGGATTGTAGTCCTGTAGCCATTTGACCAAAGGGCTGGGAGTGTTTATGAGAATACAACTCCCAGCAATCCTAGGGAGGAGCACACAGCCCCGCCTCTTCCCCTAGTGATACGCATTGTCCCTGAGACAGGTGCATGCTAAGATTGTAGTCCTGAAGCTCTGCGACCAAAGGGCTGGGAGTGTTTATGAGCATATATCTCCCAGCAAGCCTAGGAAGACGCACACAGCCCCGCCTCTTTTTCCACTGACGCGGACTGTCCCTGACCCCAGTGCATACTGGGATGGTAGTCCTGCATCCCTGTGATGAAAGTTCTGGGAGTCTCTATGAAACTACCTCTCCCAGGAAGCAGAAGGAGGGGTCCACAGCCTAGCCTTTTCCTCCAGTAATGCGCACTGTCCCTGAGCCGGGTGCATGCTGGGATTGTAGTCCTGCAGCCCGGTGATGAAAGGTCTGGGAGTGTTTATGAGACTACATCTCCTACCAAGCCCAGGAGGTGCACACAACCCTGCCTCTTTCTCCAGTGACGCCAACTTTCCCTGTTCCCGGTGCATGCTAGGATTGTAGCGCTGCAGCCCTGTGACAAAAGGGCTGTGAGTGTTTATGAGACTGCATCTTCCACCAAGCCCAGAGAGGCGTGCAGAGCCTCGCCCCTTCCTCCACTGATTAGCGCATGCTCCCTCAGTCCCATGCATGCTAGGATTGTAGTGCTGCAACCCTGTGACCAAAGGGCAGCCCAGTGACCAAAGGGCTAAGAGTGTGTGAGAATACATCTCCGAAAAAGCATAGCGAGAAGAGCACAGGTCCACTTCTTCCTCCACTGAGGCGCGCTCTCCCTGAGCACGGTGCATGCTGGGATTGTAGTCCTGAAGCCCTGTGACAAAAGGGCTGGGAGAAATAATGAGACTACATCTCCCAGAAAGCCCAGCGAGACGCATGTACCCCTTTCTCTTCCTCCATTGAGGCGAACTGTCCCGGTGCCCCGTGCATGCTGGAATTGTAGTCCTACAGCTATGTGATGAAAGGACTGGGATTGGTTATCAGAATGCATCTCCCAGCAAGCCCAGCGAGGCACGCACAGCTCCACGTCTTCCTCCAGGGACACACACACACACACACACACACACACACACAGTCCCTGAACTCGCTGCATGCTGGGATTGTAGTCCTGCAGCCCTGTGACCAAAGGGCCAAGAGTGTTTATGAGACTACATCTCCCAGAAAACGTAGGGAGACGCACACAGCCCCACATCTTTTCCCAGTGACGCATGCTGTTTTTGATCCTGATGCATTCTGGGATTGGAGTCCTGCAGTCCCGTGACAAAAGGTCTCAGAGTCTTTATGAAACTACATTTCCTAGCAAGTGCAGCGAGGTGCACACAACCTTCCCCTCATTCTCCAGTGATGTAGACTGTCCGTGAGCCCCAAGCATGCTGGGATTGTAGTCTTATAGCACCGTGACCAAAGGACAGGGAGAGGCCATGAGACTACAACTCTCAGGAAACCCAGCAAGGCGCACACTGCCCGGCCTCTTTCTCCTTAGACTAGCGCACTGTCACTGAGCTGGGTGCATACTAGGAATGTATTCCTGCAGCCCTGTGAGCAAAGAGCTGGGAGTGTTTATGAGAATACATCTCCCAGTACTCCCAGGAGGTGCACACAGCCCTGCCTCTTCCTGCAGTGACTAGCGCACTGTCCCTGAGCTGGGTGCATGCTGGGATTGCAGTCCTTGGCGATCTATGACCAAAGGGCTAGGAGTGTTAATGAGACTACATCTCCCAAAAAAGCAGAGTGAGAAGCGCACAGCCCTCCCTCTTCCTCCAGTGACGTGTGCTGTCCCTGAGCCCAGTGCATGCTGGGGCTGGAAGTGTAGTCCTTCAGCCCTGTGACGATAGGGCTGCGAGGATTTATGAGAATACATCTCCCAGCAAGCCCAGCGAGTAACAAACAACCCCGCCTCTTCCTCCAGTGACGCGCAATTTCCTTGAGCCCGGTGCTGGCTGGGAGTGTAGTCCTGCAGCCCTGTGACCAAAGGTTTGGGAGTATTTATGAGAATACATATCCCACCAAGCCCAGCGAGACGTGTACAATCCCTCCTCATCCTCCAGTAACGCGCACTATCCTTGATCTTGGTGCATACTGGGATTGTAGTTCTGCGGCCCTGTAATGAAAGGTCTGGTGACTTTATGAAACTACATCTCCCAGCAAGCCAAAGGAGGCACACAAAGCTTTGCCTCTTCATCCAGGCACACGCACTATCCCTGATCCCGGTGCATGATGGAAATGTAGTCCTTCAGCCCTGTGACCAAAGTGCTGGGAGTGTTTATGAGACCGCATCTCTCAGCAACTAAAGCAAGGCCTGCACAGCCCCGCCTTTTCCTCCAATGACGCTCACTGTTCACTAAGGAGTGTTCATGAGATTACATTTTCCAGCAAGCCCAGCGAGTTATGCACAGCTCTACCTCTTCTTCTAGCGACGCGCACTGTCCCTGATTCCGTTGTATGCTGGGATTGTGGTGCTGCAGCCCTGTGACAAAGGGGCTGGGAGTCTTTATAAGACTACATCTCCCAGCAAGCCCAAGAGGCTCTCACAGCCATGCACCACCCCCTCCCGCCCCACTTTTCCTTCAGTGACGCGCACTGTTCCCTGAACATGGTGCATACTGGAATTCTCCTGTTGCGGGATTCAGGAGGACGAGACAGACCTCAGGTTGAAACAGGAGAATCTTTATTGAGTGCACTCAGGACCAGCTGACTCACGTCAAAAAGACCGGGCCCGGAACACAGACAACACCTGACTTTTATACACACTTCACAAAAGGGGGTGGGCTAGCTTGAAGCGAGCTTACAGTGGCGTGAAAGCAGGAATACAGAGGCAGGACAAAGACAGGATTGCACATGACCGTTGCCAAGCAACCCACATGTCCATTATCTAGGTTTCCCTGGGCATGGGCTTATCCTATAACCCTCACTATGGTTCCCAAACAGCTGTAGTTCAGCCTACTCAGGCTTCTCATGACTTTCATTGTACTTCTTCGATAAAACACAATACTTGAAGTCACTAGTTACAGAGAACAAGAATCTATAAACTCATTCCATAAAACAAAGGGAATTTGTTTTTCTTTTCCCTGTGTTGGGGGAGTGTTGGGAGAACCTCCAGAGCACATTACATAATATTATCAAGAATTTTCCTGGGTCTGGGCTGTGCCTATTGCTGCCTCTGGGACAAATCAGCCTAATACAAGAAAACTTATTTCTCTTTCCTTTTAATTTCATTTTTCTTTAATTTCCTTCCTTAGTCCTGCAGCCCTGTGACCAAAGGACTGGGAGTGCACAGTTACACATCTGTTCACTTGTCATGAGACTGTTTTCCTTTAACCCCATGAACATACTTACCATAGCTTCTTTCAAATCTTACCTACCGATTACAGCATCTTGCACATCTTGAGAATAGGTTCTATTGTCTGCTTTTTATCTTGTGAATCGATTACATTTTCATCCTTCTTCACGCATCTCATAAATTTTTAAATTGTGTGATAGGAATTACAGGGACTCTGGCTTCTGTTGTATTTCTTTGAAAATTATTATTTTATGAGGGAGTTAATTTGAATAGATGCAAACCCCAATCCTTATCTCTTCTACAGTGGCAATACTAAAATCTTCATTCAGTTCTTCTAAACAGTGTGCGTTTCTATATAGCAAAATATAGTATTTTATTAAACTTTATTATAGTATATGTGAAACAGTTATTGAACAATCTACTCTACTTCATTATTACTGGAAGCCAGAACCTCAGTTGTGTTCACTTTCTGGATTTTATATAAGTGAAATTGTACAACATGTATACTTTTACATCTACTTTCTTCTATGCAACTTTATATTTATGATATTAATTCATCCTACTGCAGATAGCTATAGTTTGTTTATTTAAAAAATATTTTTTATATTGTGGCAAAGTATACATAAAATTAACCATTTTAGCTATTTTAAGTGTGCAGCTCAGAAAAATTAACTACACTCACATTGTTTTGCAACTATTATTCTCATTCATAGGGACCTTCTTTCAACTTCCAAAACCAAAATTTAATGCACATTAAATAACAGCTCCCTGTTACTCCCCCTCCAGCTCCTAGGAACCACTCTTCTACTTGGATTTCTAGAATTTAACTACTCTAAGTATCTCATAAGTGGAATGATACAGTATTTGTCCTTTTATGACTGGCTTATGTCACTTTGCACAATGTCCTTAAGGTTCATGCATAACGTACCATGTGTCAGAATTTTCTTATTTTACATAACTGAATAACGTTCCAATATATGTATAAATCACATTTTATTTATTTATTCATTGATGATAATTCAAACAACACGGGTAATTCACAAACCTTTTGGGTGATGTGAGTAATGCTGCCATGAGCCTAGGTGTACGTGTATTATTTTGTGTCTTTGCTTTCACATCTTTTGCTACATACCCAGATGTGAAATTGTGGGATCATATGGTGACTTTTGGTGTACATTTTTTAGTTATTATACTGTTATTTTATAGCAGCTGCAACATTTTACATTTCCAACAACAGTGTACAAGGGTTCTAATTGCTCCACGTCCTCACCAACACTTGTGATTTTCTGTTTTGTTTTGTTTCTTTTGGTAGTAACTATGCTGATGTGTATTAAGTGATATATCATTTGGAGTTATATTTGCATTTTACTAATGATTAGTTTTGTTGAGCACCTTTTCATGGACTTATTAGCCATTTCACATAATTTTTAAAGAAATGTCTAAGTATTTTGCCCATATTTTAAACAAGTATTTTGTTTTATTATTGCTGAATTGTTCTTTGTATATTCTGGATAGAGTCCTCTTTATTTTTCTTTTGTTTCTTGCATTTTTTGTGTCCTGTTAAAAAAAATCACTGCGAAATCCAGCGTTATGACATGTTTTACCTACATTTTATACTAAGAATTTTGTAGTTTTAGCTCTTACATTTAGGTTTTTGTCGAGTTAGTTAATTTTTTCTTATGGTATAAGTTAAGGGAACAGTTTCACTCTTTTACATGTAGGTACCCAATTTCCCCAGCACTAACTGTTGTAAAGGCAGTTCATTTCCCATAAAAATCATTTGACCATATATATGAGGGTTTATTTATATTGGCTTTCTATATTACTCCATTAGTCTATTTGTAGCATGCTATTTTGGAATTTTGTAGTAAGTTTTGAAATCATTAAGTGTGACTTCTCTAACTTTGGTATTTTTTTTTCAAAATTATTTTTGCAATTTAGGTTCCCTTGAGATTCCTCATAAACTTAAAAATTGATTTTTTAATATCTACACAAAATAATTGGCATTTTGCTTCTTGGTTACTTCCTAATTTTATTCTTTTGATGCTATTGTAAATTGAGTTATTTTCATAATTTTCTTCTCAGATCATTCGTATTACTACATAAAATACAGTTTATTTTTCTATGTTGATTTTGTATGCTACTACTCTGCTGAATTTATTAATTTTAATATTTTTTGTGTGGAATCTTTAAGATTTTCTACATAAAAGAATATATTTTCTGTACACACTTTGATGAAGTTTATTTCATTGTCTTTTTTAATTTCTCTGAATGAAACTTCTAATACAGTGTTGAATCAAAGTGGCTGGCAAGAGCAGACATTCTGTCTTCTGAGCTTAGACGAAATAATTTTGGTCTTTTCCTCTAGAACATGTAGTTTGCTGTGGGTTTTTATACGTGAATTTTACAAAGATGGTTTTCTTTTATTCGTAATTTATTGTTTTTATTATAAAATATTTTGAATTTTGTAAAATACATTTTCTGTATTAATGAGATAATGTTTTCTAAAAATTTTGTTAATGTGTCATATGCATTGATTATTTTTCATATGCTAAAACTTTTGTTAAGAAAGGCTAGCTAAGTGAACCAGTGAGACTGGAAAAAGAATAAAGAAATCTATTCTGGTTGTGATCAATTAGTTGTAAACACCATTGCACTGAAACCAGCCATACACTAAATCTTCCTTACATTCCAGTAATAAATTCCCCTTGGTCATGGGGTGTAATCTTGCTAGTATGCTGCTGAATGTGGTTAGCTAGGATGTTGCTGAGTAGTTTTGCATCCGTGTTCATAAGGGATATTAGTCTATGGGTTTTTGTAGTCTCTTTGTCTGGCTTTGGTATGAGCTAATGCTGGCATCATGGAATAAGTTTGGAACTGCTCTCTTCAGGCTTTTGGTAGATTTTGGAAAGGATTTTTGTTCTATAAATGCTTGATCTACATCACCAGTGAAGCCAACAAAACAAGGGCTTTTCTTCATGAGAGGTTTTTAATTACTGATTCCATTTCCTTAGTAGTTTTCTATCTATTCAGATTTTGTATTTCTTTGTAATCAAGTCTTGCATAAGTAGGAATCTGCCCACTTTATCTAGGTTTTCCAATTTATCATCCTATCATAGTTCACAGTACACTTTTTTAAACATTTTATTTCTTTGAATTAGTAGTAATGTCCCACTTTCATTACTCATTTTAGTATGTGAATATGCTGTTAATTTTTCGTGTGTGTAGCTGAAGTTTTGCCAATTGTTAATTTTTTGAAGAAATGAGAGTGAACTTTTGGTTTTTTGGAATTCTGTTGTTTGTGTAATCTCTATTGCATTTATCTCTGCTAAAATCTTCAATACTTTCTTCTTTCTCTTTGCTTTGCATCTAATTTGGTGTTATTTTTCTAATTTACTAGGTGATAAAGTTATTATTTATTTGAAATCTTTGCTCTTTTTAAATGTATCTTAGCTGCAAACTTTTCATCTTAACACTGTTTTTGCTGTTTCCCATAACTTTTGATATGTTTTGTTTCCATTTTTCTTCCTCTGTATGTTCCTACTTCTTCCGTGATTTCTTCCTTTACTTAATTTATACAATTTTGTAATTCTTTAAGTTGTAATTGTGTAGTTGTTTAATTTATACAATTTTGTAAACTTTCTAGCATTTCATCTGTTATTGATTTAATTTGAGATCTACTATACAGCCCATCCTGGAGAATTCCCCATGTGCATTTGAGAAGAGTGTGTACTCTGTTTTGTTGGATGGAGTATATTGTATATATCTGTTAGATCAATTTAGTTCATTGAGTTAGTCAAGTCCTCTATTTCCTAATTTGTCATTCATCTCATTTTTCTATTCATTACTCAGAGTGGAGTATTAACATCTTCAACTATTATTTTAGAACTGTCTATTTGTCCCTTTAATTCTGTCAACTTAGTCTTTCTATATCTAAATGTCTTATTATTAGGTATGTAAGTGTTTAAACTATTTCTATCTTCTTGCCAAATGCACGTTCTATGATTATATAATGTCTTATTGTCTCTTGTAACTTTTTAAGTCTATTTTGTCTGCTATTAATATAGTCATCCCCAGTCTCTTTTTCCTACTATTGGTATAAAATAATTATTTTCTTCCCTTTTTTATAACCCTGAATTGCTGTGGAAAGCTAACAGTAGCATTACTTAATTTAAAAAGCACAGAAATCTTAAATCAATAGCTTAATGTTTGTAAAAGCATTTAAATGGAAATAAGCTACCAGTTCACCAGGAACAAAGGATATCAGTTGGGTCTAAGAATAATCATGCCAAAAAGCTCTAGGAGGAAAAGCTCCTGGGAATTAGGACTGTGATAATGGTCTTTGAGATCAACAAAGAAATGGGGAAATGGGGATGCTCAGGGTCAGGTACATGCTTAGCAAAAGACCCAGAAAACCCTAAGCTGTCACCTGTGTACTTTAAACTCTGCACAAGTAGAAAATAGAGGCACAAGGAGAGTTGTAACTTTATGCTGATTAGTAAAGGCATGCTCCAACACACATACATAGATCCCAGGTGAAAAAAAATCAGATATTTATTTTTAGTGAAGGTTAAAAAATCTGGAGTCTTACTTTCCAATTAAGGATTAGTGAAAATATTTGGGGAGATTTGCATTGATCAGTTCATCCTGAGGTCAAGAAAATCTTGATTTTAAAATTTGGAGCCTCCAGTAAAGGATTAGCTTCCACCTAGAGGTGTTCTTTGGCCTTTTGGACTCAGAGCTATCTTGACACTACTACTGGTTACACTGATTTGAAAGTCAGCTAAGAGCTTGCTACAGAACTCCTGACAAACTAAGTTTGACCTATAGAGGGCTAGGGCATCCCCAGCTGGTTGAAATTTTGTGCCTCCTTCTATCCTCTGAAGCAAAGCTGCTGTCTCTGTGGGGCCCCCAATTTACTGAGTGTTTCCTATATGACTGGTCCTGGTTCATAGATGAGTCAGGGAAGGTGAAACCTCATGATGTCCACTGGGCCGCTGTGGCTGTTTAACCTGTGCCAGCCATACAGAACCTGACATGAGTGGTTGCTCCTCTCAAAGGTCAGAACTCAGGGTTTGGGATAATGGCACATATTCTATCTGTTTGGTTATCTACAATGGAAAGTGTAGACTGTCTGAATATCTTTTGGGCTGCAAACCGGAAACAACCCCAGATGCTGATCTAACTGGGTCACTCATCTAGAAGTCCATGGTAAGTGTTTTCCAGAGAGTGACCACAATCAAGCTGCAGATTGAACCTAAATCTGTGTCCAACCCAGAGTCTAATACTGCAAACCAGACTTGGGGTTGCTGGTGAAAGTTGACCTATCTGTCTCATGGTTGAAGAATTCCTAGACCATACCTAGCAGAGTAACCAGAAGTGGACTTTTAGCCCACTTCTTGAGATATCAGTCACCACTGTTGACTTCTTCAGCATAACAGTCATCTGACTCCAGCCATACCATGTGTCCCTTGAAGCTAATCTGTGCCACCTTTTAGGCTTTTGAGGCCAATTGAGCTCTGACTTCGTGGCATTTTTCACCACATCGACTAAAATGGGCCAACTCTACGATGTTCCCTCCTTTTCCACACATGTTGGTTAGATAATTCGTTGATTAGGTATGCTTTTCTCTGAAAGGGGATTATCTCTTCCAGATTGCCTCCAAGATAAGGATGAAATGTTTGGGGGATCTAGGAATCTATTTCACAAATTTGGAATTTCGTGCTAATAATTCCTGGGTGAAATGTCTTTCTTTCCCATACCTGCAATTCTAGACCAGCCTGGCTTTTGTATCCTCTGAGTTGCATCCCAGCCTAGCAGCAGTTATGGGACTCCAACTTAGTTCTGGTTAAGTTTTATGTAAATATTCTTGTATCTGTTTTACCTGGCTCTACTACACAAAATGTCTAGAAAAAAGTAAAGGGCGACTAGAATAAAGGTGAGATTATAGATATCGGAATGAGACACACTGATTCTGTGGAGATAGAGGGAGAACAACAACCTGGAACGTGGGAAATGAACAACTTAGACCTCGGAAGCTACGGGGAATGGTGGGACATTAACAACTTTTTTTCTTTCTGAATAACCCCTGGTGCAGCCCACAAAAGAGTCTGGAAATACTATTAGAACAGACGGTAAGACAGAGGCTGTGGATTCAGCTCCTTTTGGTCTCCACGTTACTCTTAAGAATCCTTTGAGACTATTCTATCTCTCTGTGATGTAGGCATGGAACTCTAGTGGGCAGTGTGCACTCTCGGTGCCCATGGTTCAACGCCACAGTTTTTCAGATGATGGACAACCATTGCTTTTTCCTGAAGAGACTTAGTACCCTGTGGCTGAGCTTAAGCGGGACTCTAGGAATTACTGATTGCATTTTCTTCTTCTTCTGTGAACTGCGATTTCTCCTTCTGTTTTTCTACTACCTAGAGATTAATCTGTATTTGTCAATATTTAGGTAAATCAGAGACATAAAGCAGATAAGGAACCCTAGACACAGCTTCTAGCATAGCTGGACTCTTGCCTGTTTCTCTTCCCACTTTATGAGATCAATTATATTGGCACAGAGAGATAGCCTTAGATGGGTCTCTCAGGATCAATTAGAGAAGCATACTTCTAGAGAAGCTGGTAGAACAGGGCAGGAGGGCCAGTGAGGATCAAAGCTTCTATCCAAATGTTTTAGCCTAGCTGTGTGTGGCAGACGAATCCAGGAAAGCTCCCAGATCCCTGGAAGGGATTATTAAGAGAGGATCCATTAGATTAGAATGCTAGGTTGGGTGTTCATCTATCACCTTCTGAGTCAGATTTCCAGGGTTAAGTCTGTGGTAGGGCTGCAGAGAAATGCTCGCCTGGGAAAGCCTCTGATCAAGTGCAACATAGGTGACTCCCGCACAGGGAGAAGTCCTCTATTTGAGGAACATCATATGTGTTTGGATGTATCTGTGCTCTTCCTCAGCAGAGGACCATTGACTGAATGACTGTTTGACAATTACGCATAAAGAGCCCTATATTATTTTGAATTTAGTAAATATTGGAACAGAAACAAACAATATTATCTACTTTCAAATTGAATAACAGCATGAGCAACTTCCAGGTAAATGTCACAGGAGGAAACTCTGGGGCCTTGCTCATCACCAGAAACCTTGAAAATCCTGATGCAACCTGTAGGGTTAACCTTATCAACACTTAGTTTTTTACCATATAGATTTATCTTCATAAAAAATATTTTCTTTGGACCTTTATTTTGTTATATGCCATGAAGAATAAATCATTTATTTCCTTTGCGATAAGAACATCACATTTTTACACCTCAAGTATTAATGATGCCATCCCCCATGTAGTTTTTGTTGCGATGGCCTGAATGTTTATGTCCCTTTGCAAATTCCTATGTGGATAATTTTAGGCGTGTGGCCTTTGGGGAAGTGGTGAGGCCAAGAGTTCTTCATCTTCATGAATGGAATCAGTGCTCTTTCAAGGGAAGTTGAAGGCAATGCCCTTGTCCCGTGTGCAAGATGGTACCATCTATGGGGAACAGGGCTCTCAACATATACTAAATTTTCTGCTGCCTTGATCTTGCACTTTCCAGACTCCATAACTGTGAAAAATACATTTCTGTTGTTTATCCTTTACCCAGTCTGAGGTATTTTGTTATAGCAGCCTGGATGCACTATGACACTTTCTTAGGCACTTTGGTCTATTTCTGAATTTTTAGTTTCAGTGACATATGAGTTTTTAATCAATCAAGATTTTTCACAGAGCTTGCCAGTCTTGTTTTTTGCTTTTTTTTTCAGAGTTTTCTTGTCTATTCTTATGTGTGTTTTCATCTATATAATATTTTATAGTAACGTGTACTTCCAATATTTAATGGTATCTGTATAGGAACAAAATTGAATTTATAAATAAACTTAAGGACAATTGATGTTGATAATATTGAGATTTGCTGCCTAAGAATATGATACAAATTGTCTATTTGCTTATGTCTACATTCATATATTTCATAAACTTTCTATGTTTTTCTCATATTCTGTACACATTTTTGTAATGTTTATTCCTAGTTTATTTTATTCTGCTAAAAAGTAATTTGAGACACAATGAAATTGCCAAGTGTCTATTTGAGTAAGAGCAATTGATAAATTATAAAATATCAGACCAAAAGTTATTTAGTGCTTCTCTGACAGAGTAAGAAGCAAGTATTTATTGAAAAAATGTAGAAACAAAAAAATCATTTGATTGGTGGTAGCACAACTTTTTTATTGTTTTTTGTTCGTCTGTTTATCTTGTTGGACAGTTTCTATTTATATAAGGATGTTGGCTACTCCTGATTGGTTGAGCTTCATTTCTCTTTTTTAAATAGGCAGCTACAAGAAATATTTAAGTTTTGCTTGTATTTGCAAATCAAGCAAGGTTGAGATCACTTATGAGACCTAACTAATTTCGTCTGCTCAGAGATTATTGAGACGTGATCTCCATTTTAATTTATTTTAACAAATTTTCTGTACTTTTAATTCCCATCCAAACTGTAACTTATAAATTATTATTGTTGTACATATATAGGCCCATGTTGTGTATGCTTTGAAGACATGTCCTGCTTTCAAACTCATTTGTATTATGTTATTATTGAATTTGCCCCATTTATTGGAATTATATACTGCAATCTCCCAACTACAAGAGGTATGAGTTCTGAGGAGATCACAGTAAAGATGAGTCAGAAGTGAAAACGGTTCTCCAACTCACACATGCAGTAAAAACAAATTTCACGTGGATATAATGAGTAATTATTTAAAATTTAAAATACCCTGAAAACATTAACGTTTATCTCATTACTATGTAATATGGAAATTACAAGACAAAAAAACCCAAAGACTTATTTTTAAAATAGAAATGGAGCTTTTTATATGATGAAATGGTCCATAATTTAAATGTAAAAAGTGAATAGGAAATACATGAAATAAAATAAAATTATTTGTAAAAGTGACAATGCCCGTATTAGATTTAACAATATCTTACAATGAAATAAGTTGAAACCTACAAAATAGAAGAAAGTTTAAAATTAGGCAAATATTATGAGCCAGGTGAAGAATAAATACATATATCAATAAGCATTTAATGTATTTTGTCTTAGATTTTATATGAAATAATAAAAAGTAAGCAAACCAATAGCAAGGTAATTTCACCCTGATTGATTCAAACTGAAAAAATATTAACATTTCTCCATTGGAAGTTGGATTCATGGATTGGCCTCATGCTGCATTCAAGGCACTTTAGCCAGGACCCAACACTCATTGCCAAGAGTCATCAGGCTAGAAGTTTGCTTTTAAGATGTTCCCCGGCCTGCGACCAAGACACTTTGTCTTGACTACTTCTTCAACTCTGACATAGGTTTTGCTGATATAAATGAAAACCCAGCTCTATACCTACCAAGCATCTACATGGCTAGAGCTGCACATTGAATATTTAGGCACTAGGCAAGAGGTCTTCCCAGGTTTCCAAGCAGACTTTCTAGAATTTCCCAAAAATACTGACATTGTCTTTTTCAGACCCAATCTCCCAAAGAGAATCAGAGAGATGGTCTGGAAGCCATTTAGAATCTCCAGCCTCCAATTTAGTAACAATGGACTTGGATACAAAGAGGCAACCTACTGACCTCAAAGACACCAGCCCAGATTCTGGGCATTGAATTCCTGCCTCCCCATGAAAGATCTCATCTGAGTCACATCAAAGCCCACACTCTTCTTCAACGTTCACCTTCCAGACACGCTCCAAAACAGCCCCTCAGAATTGTCTTGAGATGAAACAAAAGGTGATGAAGCTCCAGGTTTGGAATGCCTGCCTCATTCCTCACTCCTGAAAAGTCTACACCTGCTGGTTAGAACTCTCATACCTTAGGGAGCCCGGGCTCTCAGAGTGCATCCTCTAACAGGACCTCCTGGCCTTTTCCTCCTTGGAGGAGAGTGCCCAAGAATAAGAGGGAATACATGGCCTCCACTCTCACTTGACTTGATTGACTGATTAACTGATGTCTGAGGAGGAAACATATGTAGGGAACAGCCTGGGTCTTTTGAATCCCTGTTCCCCAGCTATGATGCCTGTGCAAATGGAGGGAGAATCCCAAAGTATTGTTGGGAGGTAGACAGACACTGGCTAACACAATTAAGTAAATATAAGGTGACTTGAAGGGAAATTTATCATATGTCATATACAAAATTTTAGTTAGTGAACTTTATTTAAAAACAGTCACAATTTGTAAGGGGAGTAAAGTATAATTTTAATGGGGAACTATGAAAATTATCTGCACTTGCTATGTAAATGATTGAGTTAGGGGTAACAATCTGAAGGTCATGAGCTTGATATCTGCTACTTAATTTCATAAGACATTTACTTGCAAATGGTTGTCATTTTTGCTCTCACCATATGAAAATTTTTTCTTGCTAAGAGCATTCCTATGAAAGAAAAACTAGAAATTTTGCCAATTTCGGTTATTAAAATAATAAAACTGGTTTGTTTGTTATTCTTAACCAAATGCTCCTACAGATGGCACATAGTACCCATGCTTTGATTGTTTTTTTCCCACCTTAAGTCAATTGCCTTTCATTTTATTCATCAAACTGTTTTTACTGTAGATAGACATTGCAGTTGTCATGTGCCCTATGGATTTGTACTTTATTAGAAATATGAATTCTCAGGCCGAGTATATTGGCTCACGCCTGTAATCCCAGCACTTTGCGAGGTGGAAGAGAGTGGATCACCTGAGGTCAGGAGTTCAAGAACAGCCTGACCAACATGGTAAAACCCCATCTCTCTACTATTTACAGTTCGCATTGTACCTTGCAATGAATATACATTTTATCCAAAAAGCCTAAAAAATAATGAAATTGGGGGTGGGGGCATGGCTGGAAGTATAGATAAAACAAAAATGACACATGACTAGCAGCTGTTAAAGCTGGGTGACTGGTCTGTTATACTTTTTTTGTATTGTGTATGTTTTTAGTGATCTGTAATAAAACACTTGTACAAAATGACAAAGTTTATCTACACTTAGCTCTTAAGGTCTTGGTTACCTTTGGGAAGGGGAAAGTGTCAGGGGCATGAACAAATCTGATTCTTAGATACACAAGTGTATTTATTTAGTAATAATTCATCAAACATTCCCTAAATGCTTTGTGCCTATATTGCTGTATGCATGTTATTTATCAATAAAAATGTAAAGAGTGCATGTTTGCATAACAATCCTAAATTAATATTTTAGAATAATAGCAATGTTTTGTTTTGTTTTCAAGTGGGGCGTGTTCACTCAGGACATCATCAGGTGTATGTTAATGTTCCAAGTTATTTATTTATGTTTTAACTTTTGGGTGAGCCCCCCTGGGTCTTTTAATTTTTACTTCAACACAGTAAGTAGCATGGTTTTAACTTTTTGGAATGCAGCTTTGTTTTCATCAAGGTTCTCCCCGAAGAATGATGCTCACCCAGGCCAGGGCACACAGTGACCCGTGCACAGGATGCACTGAGCACACACGGCACTGGGTGAACCAGGAACAGAAGGAGAAGCCAGCCTGGGTCTGCAAAATATACTTTGCAGGAAAAGCAGGTAAAATGGAAAGGTCACAATTCAGCAGCAAACGTTTTCACATTCATTGGAGAAATCATTTCTAACAAAAGCTGCTCGTTAAAGCCATGGTTTTCTGGCTTGCCTACACATTGTAATCACCTGCACGACTTTCAACCATATTTTTTTCAGATCCAGCTCCAAGGATTCTGATTTAGTTGTGCGGTTACAACTTGGGTTTAAGGGATTTTGAAAGTTTTCCTCCCCGCAGGTGATTCTCTTGCGCCAGGGGTAAGAAGCGCTGGATAGGGGTGAGGGATGCTTTAGCTGTGAGAGATAGCCATGTACGCTTCAGGATTTGCCCCATCGCATATCTGGAGTTCGGGGTCTTAGAAAGCTTTCTTGCCCTGTTAAAAATTAAAGGATGGCTTCAATACATACTTAGCTGCTTGGCTACATTGCAGAAAAACAAATTGCCTTTCCAGAGATCAGTTTTTTGAGACAGGGTTTTGCTCTGTCAGCCAGGCTGGAGTACAGTTGTGTGATCATGGTTCATTGCAGCCTTGACCTCCCAGGCTCAGGTGATCCTCCAGCTCCAGCCTTCTGAGTAGCTGGGACTGAAGTCATGCACCACCAGGCCTGGCTAATTTTTCAAATTTTTTTTTTTTTTTTTTTTTTTTTTGTAGAGATGGCTTTCTCTATGCTGCCTGGGCTGGTCTCAAACTCCTGGTCTCAAGTGATCCTCCCACCTCAGTCTCCCTAATAGTTCGACCTACAGGCACAGGGAAGCATGCCCGGTATATTTATTAAAAAGTAGTTACCAGAATATTTAAAATTCACTTGTGCCTCTCATATTATTTCTTAGAGAATTGCCTCCCTTTTGAAATCTCAGGCTGCCTGCTCTAAAACCTGGATGTGCCAGGAAAGTAAAACATCTGAAATTTTAAAACAATTGTCATTATATTGATTCCATATATGAATAACACATATATATTATTCATTAATACAAATAATCTTACATACAAATGTAAATGCAAATATTTTACAGGCAGGGCCAGTTTCTAGTTCACAGAGGAAGCCCTGCCAGAAAAGGATCCAGGAAAAACCTATAATTCTTGCTTTATTCAACCCAGTGTCAAATCACATATGTCACTCATGGTCTGAGGCGGCAGGGTAGGGAATTGAACTACATCCAATCATGGGTCTTGGAGTGGAAACTATCTAATCAGGTGCACAGCTGGAGAAGAATGGGCAGCTTTTTGGAAGTACGGAGGCCTTGGCCTGTCTCTCCACTCAGAGCTCAGGACACTAGAGCCACCTCAACATAATCACCTGTTTTTTAGTTATTTTAACACTCCAAAAGGGAACTAGTTTTCTCATGCATTTTCCAAATGTGTGGCAGGCAGAGACTCAAATCTAACTCCCTGTTGCCCCAGCCTAACTCTGGCTTGCAATCAGATTTTAAATTTCCAGTTCTTTCCTGACACTCACCAACACTAACTAACCTTCCATAATTCACAACATTATCAACTGTTCTTTATTGTATATTTCAGACACAGTATTTCAATTCTTCTTTTTGTCAAAAAGCAGTGGATGTCATTTAAAAAAATTTTTTCTCATTTGTAAACATTTTACAGGAGATGAAAGCAGAGAATAATCCCCTGACACCCCACTGTAAAAAAAATAAATAAAAAGCGGAAAACCTTTGTGCCCCTTTGTTTAAACTTCTCTTGGCACAGACACCCCATCAGAAAGCCTTTGGGTTCAGGTTTCATTTTGGAAACTTCACAGGGCAATACATCCTCAGCCATCCTGTTATTTTCTTGGTTTTGAATTTCAAAACTGTTTGAGGATTCCCCAAGATGCCAACAGTGGCCATGACTCTTGAAGTGTCTAGTAAATAGCATCCCTTGTGTCATCTCCTCTCAGGGAACAGCCCAAGGTATGGGAATGCAGCCTCTCTGTGGAGTGGTTGTTTGAGATGTGCCTGGAAGGAATCTCTAGGTATACCCTTGCGCTAAAAGCAAACCCATTAGGTCATTAAGATTTTCTTACCCCAAAGCTTAGTTTCCATTCCTTAGAGACACATTGCAGGCCAGGCAAATGGATGCTGATATTGAGGAAAAAATGTTCTCAGATTGGTGAAGGGAGAGAAAATATTTCAAAGGACAAAGAAACCCAACCTAGTGAGGCAGTGCAAAAACCTGCAAAGTAAAATGCACCTCAGGGACACAGAGGAGCACAGGGTAGCGGCTCCTGGTAGGATGGTCATGACCCACTTCACTGAACCAGATGTGAGTGGGGAAAATATCCCAAGTAATAGAATGGCTTGACTTGACCCTTGGGTCTGATATGTCTGTGTTTCAATCGGCACTGTCACCTTCTAATTTTGTCACCTTGAAAATGTTTTTGTACTTACTTTAACTTCACTTTTTAATTAACTGTAAACTATGTTTTATCAGTAGAGCTTGAAAGGCATGAAAATATTTATAAAGCACATTAAGTTGGTGAATTTTGAATAAAATTAAGTAGTAATATATTTCACTTGTTAAAAATTGTTACTTGCCTATTTCTTTAGCAGAATGAGTGTCGTACATTTCCCAGGACTGTTTTTTATTTGTCTGAGAGGTGATTTCAAGCAGAATCTCACGGCTTACTGTTGGGAATGTTACCAGGTGTATTGATAGGGATAGTCTCTCTTCCACTACGGTGGTAGGAAATGAATACATACCTACAAGCACGTGAGGTAGATTAATTGTTAAATTACATAAATTTATCACATCAGTTATTCTTTTTTCAAAACAGAGAACTTCTGATAGTGAGTATCTCTGTTCCATATGCTGTCATCTGGGTGTTTGAGGGTAACGCTAAGTTTTAGGAGCTGGGACTTGGCACCGCCTGGAAGTGTTCACATATGATTGTTTACTAAATGATTTGTTATGAACATAATTAAATTACATGTTTATTTTCTGAAAGGGATAGATACTTTGGCTTTTCTTGTTGAGTTATAAAATGTAAGCCCCTTATAACTTTCTTTTTTAATTTTAATTTTATTTTTTAGACTTAGTGTCACTCTTGTTGCCCAGTCTGGAGTGCAATGGCACGATATTGGCTCACTGTAACCTCCACCTCCCGGGTTCAAGCAATTCTCCTGCCTCGGCCTCCCAAGTAACTGAGATTACAGGAATACACGACCACCCCCGTTTAAGTTTGTATTTTTAGTAGAGACTGTGTTTCTTCATGTTAGTGAGGCTGGTCTCGAACTCCTGACCTCAGGTAATCTGCCCGCCTCAGCCTCCCAAAATGCAGGGATTACAGGCATGAGCCACCATGCCCGACCATAATTTCCTCTCTTTTAAACCTTAGATTTGAATGATTTTTGCTGGATTCTTCAAACATGAAGTATTTTTTAAATTGAAAACTAATTGAATGACTTTAACTGGTAAGTAGAAGTCTTAGACCGTTGACTAAAAGCTAAGGCTAACGTTGACCCTGCAAAAGGGGGCCACTGAAGGCCCAGTTGATTATTCCTGGGTGTCTGCCCTGCAGACATCAAAGTCTGCTCACACCAACCATAGAAGGAGCCTTTGTCACTGTCAGAAGATACAGAGCTTTGGTAAGCTGGAAGTTGACAGGCAGATGCAGTTGGGGTTGAGATTGAAGAAAAGTTGGGATATTCTTTCTAGAATGGAGTTTTTATTGTCCTGAGACTGTTTATAGACTTTGTCTAAGAAGTTACTTAAGAAGTGTTGTAACAAGGAAAAAGTACAAATGATTAGATCTTTGAGGATCTCAAAGGTTAGGTGGAAAAGGGTTTTATTTCATAGGGAGGAGAAAATAAGTTTACAAAGAAGGTTGGAAAGGAAGCACAGGATGGAGGGTAGCAAAATCAGATCCCAGATAAGATAATGTTTCATCTTGAAGTCAGCCTGTTCTTAGGAGGGATATGTATAAATATGGGTTGTAGGTTCTCTGAGGCTGTGGGTGAGTCAAAGTTCAGGGGCTGAGGGAAGAAGGGGAACAAGCAAAGTTTTGTTAACAAGTACTCTGTTTTGACCACTGAAGACTAAATTACAGAATGGTTGTTCATTTTTAAAAATAGGAATTTGTAATCTGTGTCCGTCTTTGTGATAGGTTAAAAAAAAGGGGGGGGGGAACATCCACAAAGTCATAATGGGAAGCACGTTTCTCTTCACTAAGCTGTTCTTTGAGAACACAAAGAATGGGGGAATTTCTTTAAATATAGCTATTTCCAGGATTACCTTCACCCACAACTGTTCCTTTTCCTAGACATCTCTTTCATTTGTCAGTTTCTGAGTTGTATTTTTATAATAAAGTGGTAAATATAATTAGACTTATTTGTTGAGTTTTTTTGAGTAACTCTATCAAATTATTTAACTTGAAAAGGGGTTTATGGGAGTCTCAGATTTATAGGCAGTAGCTCAGAAGTATAGATGGGCTTATGGGACATGTGACTAACCTCTGCAGTGAGAGGGGTGATGTGGGACTTAGCCCTGAATTTGTGGGATCTGTGCGAACTCTAAGTTGTGTCAGAATTAAATTTTGGGGCAAGAAATGGGTGTTGGAGAAGCAGTGGGTTTTCAGGGAACTTTACACATTTAGGATCAAAAGTGTTGTAAGGAGAAAGACAATGTGGGGGCCTTTGCTGGAGAGAGACTCCAGGTGTCTCGGGGAAGGTAGGCTCTGCTCTGCACACAGGCTGCTACGCCATGCACTGCCCTGTGGTTCCAGGCATCCTCCCATGGTAAGAAGGACCGACGACTCTGAGGGAAGAAGTTCTGAGAACAGATGCCTTCTACCCTCCTGCCAACCTGAGGCCACCACATGTTTTTCACCCACTGAACATACACACTGCATGTTGACGTGGTCAAGCCCCTCTCAGGACAAGGCTTTGGCATCAAGATTGTTGCCCATCCTACCTTTCCTCATAGACTTTCCCACCAAAAACCCACACACGTGCCTACAAGACCCCTGGCATATGTTCTACTTCAGACACCGAATCTGCAGTGGCAACCTGGTTTTTTCACCATCGCAGATTTCTGTGCCACCTGATCATAATCTCGTCTTCCTGCATGAACATAGAAATAACTCAGAGAAAAGTTTCACCTGGGTCAGTGTCTGTAGCATGAACCAGTCCTCCCACCAACCCTGTACAGTCTCTCACTTCTGGTTTCTTAATAGCACCTTCCCCTCTTTTACCTTTTAGTTCACCTCAAACCCTTTCTTTTATGTGCACACAGTGTGCCCAAGGCCACCCCTCAGTTGCCTGAATCCAGCACCTACCAAAATTCAGATGTCCAGTAGTTCAAGACCATGGGCCTAGACTAAGTTTTTGCAGAAGGCAATACAAATTAGAAATGAGAGGCTCTATTCTCCCATTTGAAAATAAAAAAAAGATTTTTTTCTTTTCCTTTTTCTTAAACAATGTAATCTGGAAAACTTTAATTAGTAATTTTTTGAGGCAGAATCTTACTCTTTTACTTAGCCTGAAGTGCAACGGCATAATCATAGCTCACGGTAACCTTAACCTCTTGGGTTTGAGCAGTCCTCCTGCATCAACCGCTTAATTACCTAGGACTATAGGCATGAACCACCATGCCTGGCTAGCTTTATTTATTTTTGTTTTTATTTTTTTTCAAGACAGTGTCTTGCTCTGTGGGCTAGGCTGGAGTGTAGTGCCATGATCTTGTCTCAATGCAACCTCCACCTCCCAGATTCAAGCAATTCTCCTGTCTCAGCCTTTTGAGTAGCTGGGATTACAGGCGCACACCACCATGTCTGGCTAATTTTTTGTTATTATTATTTTTAGTAGAGAATGGGTTTTACCATTTTGGCCAGGCTGGTCTCCACCCCCTGACCTCATTATCCACCTGCCTCAGACTCCCAAAGTGCTGGGATTACAGGTGTGAGCCAACATGCCCAGCCATATTTATTTTATTTTTTTGTAGTGACAGAATTTCACCATATTGCCTGTACTGGACTCAAACATTTGGCTTGAAGGTATCCTCATGCCTTGGCCTCCCCAAATGTTCAGATTACAGGCATGAACCACCATGAGTGGCCTGGAACACTTTTACATGTACCTTTTTTTCTCTGCTTCTTTGAAATATAAGCAAATCATTTTAACAGCTAAATAAGCCTTCTGTCATTCTTCATGACAGAGAATTGTCTTTATCTAAGACCTGGAAACTATTGCTTTGTTTTTTAATTTGGCAAAGATTTATTTATTTTTTATTTTCAGTCCTTTGAAGTAGGCACAGCGCAGTACAGTGGCTCATGTTTTTAATCCTAGTGCTTTGGGAGGCTGAGATGAGAGAATTGCTTGGGCCCAGGAGTTTGAGACCAGCCTGGGCAGCATAATGAGACACTTTCTTTATAACAAATTAAAATCAACTAGCAGGGCATGGTGGCACAGGAGGCTGAGGTGAGAGAATCATTTGAGCTCAAGAGTTTGAGGCTGCAATGAGCCATGATCACTCCAATCTACCACTGTATTCCAGCCTGGATGACAGAGGGAGACCCTGTCTCTAAATAAATAAGCAAATAAAAAAATGTGTTTTTCCATACATAAAAATAAGTTAATAAACAGATAAATAAAATAGACATGGATTTGCTTAGAATAAAGCTAATTATAAGATAACAGAAAAGTGAGCACCAAAGATGGGGTTCACCTTAGCAAGTGATTCCAGCCTATTAGGACACTCACAGAATTCTCCCTGCAGCATGACCAACATGAAAGTAGAATGTCATCATGTCAGGCTATACCAGCGTCGGAAGACTAAACACTGTGGGGAAGAACCTCCCTTATGGAATATTATCAACAGGTGAGAGACCAGCTCCTGCCCTGATGGGCTACAGAGATGAATTCTTGAGATAACACATTGCAGAAACATGCATAGAGTAGTTTAACCTTTTTTGTGTGTAACCCTTTCTCCATTTTCCTGCAAAATCCTCCCTAGAAATAGTGTTCGCTTTTAAGTTTTGAGGGTCTGGTAGGACTGAAGCTGCATGCTGCAGGAGATACCTGGGGTAGGAAACTAACACAAACTGCAGCTACAGGCACAAATACTCATGGCCTAATGTAAAGTGAAAACAATAGAAAGGTCTTTACTGTTATTCACCCAAGTGAGTGAACAGAGACTTTCCACATAACCAACTTGCCACTGAGACTAATGAAGGCCAGATTCCACTGGATCAAGACTATGAGTTACTCATGGGAAGATCATAGGACACAGCCCAGAGAGTTTTCATACTGGAGTCTGGGTACTGGGTCTGTCCCGGTCTTCTCGGGTTTCTGTCTGTAGAGACCCCTATGTGGCTGCTCTTACCACAGCCCGGTGCTGGCTGTGGTTGCTGGCTTAGTGCACCTGGTCTTTTTCCAAAAAGAGGGAGGAGTTGGCCACATCAAGAAGCTCCTCATCAATCTGAATGCAGCTCTGTAAAAAGTGCCTAGAAACCACGCAAAGAAAAGTCAGTGGTCTGCCTTGTTTTCACCGTATGTGACACCTCCACTAGAAATTCTGCTTTTCTCTGCACTCCAGCCTGGGTGACAGAGCGAGGCTTCCTCAAAAAGGAAAAAAGAAAAAGAAAAAGAGAGAAAGAAAGACAGAAGGAAGTAAGGAAGAAGAAAGAAAGAAAAAGAAAGAAAGAAAGAGAAAAAAAGAAGAAAGAAAGAAAGAAAGAGAAAGAAAGAAAGAAAGAAGAAAGAAAGAAAGAAAGAAAGAAAGAAGAAAGAAAGAAAGAAAGAAAGAAGAAAGAAAGAAAGAAAGAAAGAAAGAAAAAGAAAGAAAGAAAGAAAGAAAGAAAGAAAGAAAGAAAGAAAGAAAGAAAATAAAAGAGAAAAGAAAAGAAAAGAAATTCTGCTCTTCAGATTAGGCACATAAGGAGAATCTGTATGAATCTCCAGCAAGGAAGGAAACCAGAGGACAAGTTAAAGTCTTGGAATTCACATCTGAGTACACAGACTCGTTCTCCAACCCTCTTCTTTTTATTCTGCCAGCTATGGCCTAGGTATGAACATGACAGGTACACAAGGGTTCCAACACCTGACAATCTGCTTCAGTAAAAGAAGAGTGCCCTCCCTCTTGCTCCCCATACAACTCATGGTACTAAGAAATGGTGTGGGACTTCCCAGATGAGTTGACAAGAGAGGCCTGGCTCTGGGGCCTGTCCTGAGCTGCCCTGTGTTATTTGTAGGTGCACCCGGCCAATAGCCAGGGGCATCAATGATGAGGCCTGAGTTGACATCCGTGTTTTCAGATAAGGCTTTTACACTGAGCCTTTGTAAAGTCAAAACTCAGAAATTTCAGGGCACAATGAAAGAACATCTCACTCTCTTGAGCATCTCTCACTAACAGAGGTGGATACAGAGCTGTCTCAAGAATGTGGGTTCCTGGTTTCTTAACTGATGTTGGGTTGTCACCAAGAAAGTGTGTTAAACTCTTCAAGGTTCCATCTACTGGGTCCCTTCTTTCTGTAAGACCTACCCAAAAGCCCCACTATGCTACTAATTGCTCAGTCTCCTCTTCCATGTCAACTCTTCATTTGTACACAAGTATGCAAACACAACTTCCCCTTAATTCCCTGGAAAGAACTAAATGCAGCCTGGGTTCCAGGATATAAGAGACAGCTGGAACATAACCTTGTTTTTCTTACCATCTCTGGGACCCAATAAAAGTCACTGTGTATTTGAGGCTTCCCCAGCCTCCAAGCATGCACAGTGGGGATGATGCTAACATCTACTTCCTAGGGATTGTATTAGATGTATATAAGATAAAACATAAAAATCATGTGGTGTTACCTGTAGATAATGCACACACTTAGAGATGGAAGCATTAGGAGAATATGTAGAAGGTAGCATGGGCCACAACTCAAACAAGCCTGGGTCTGGCAGGGTGATCTTGGGAATGTCACTTCTCCACTGCGCTTCATTTTCATTCTGCTCCAGTATGAAGTTGAAATTAAATGTAGATACTGTCCTCTGGCATTCATATAGTTTAGCTGTGTGTTCCACCCAAACTTCTCTGTGTATTATAACCCCCAGGTGTTAAGGGAGAAACCTGAGGGGAGATGATTGGATTATGGGGATGGGTTCTCCTCATGCTGTTCTTGTGATAGTGAGTTCTCATGAGATCTGATAGTTTCATAAGCATCTGGTACATCCCATGCTCTCACTCACTTCACTTGTCAGCCACTGTAATTGGAAGGTTTCTGAGGTGCCCTCCCAATTATGTGGAACTGTGAGTCAATTAAACTTCTTTTCTTTATCAATTACCCAGTCTCAAGTACTTCATCATTGCAGTATGACAAAGTCCTAATACAGCCATTCAACTTTCTAGTGCTTTCTCTTTATATTTAGAATCATATCCATGTGCCTTCTCACGTCTATGACAGGGAAACTCTTCACAAAATCTCACAGTACTAGGTGGTTAGTGACTCAGTTTTTTATTGAATAAAATGGCCTACAGCCTGATGACAGTAATATGGCCCTTGGGTTTTGAGGAAAATATCATGTTGTAGGTTGGCCAAAAAGGAGATAGCAGTCCAGCTGAAATTTGTTTTCTTATACTGGCTTTAAGGCAGTGATTAGAAAAGGCCTAAGAGGTGGGTTCTGTAAGGGATTGCTGGAAGGAAAGTAGGAATATGGAAAGTCATGAGACATATACTGTCATCTCTTCTTGCTTCCTCTCAAGTCACATGCAAATTCAGGGAGAGTTAGTATGAAACACACAATGGAAATTTGGGCTCTAACATATGCAATCTGATTCTTCATGGACTTCATTTGGCCATATCAGTTCCAACAATTTCAGCCAATGTTTAAAAATCTTATAAGCAGATAACATTTTAGTGTTTCAACAAGCCATTTCCTATCTTTCATTCTGAAAATCCATTTTAAGTCATTTTTTTAACAGCATAGGGGTACAAATTCAGCTTCTGTCCAATGAAATACAGAAAAGGATATCACTTTTGTATTAGTTCAGGCTGCTATGCCAAAGAACCATAGATAAGCAGCTTATAGACAACAGGACTTAATTTCTCATACTTCTATAGGTTCGAAATTTGAGATCAGGTTGTCAGCACGGTTGAGCTCTGGTGATGACTCGCTTCTGAATTTCAGACTGCAGACTTCAAGTTTTACCATCATTTTGCAGAAGGAGGAAGAGAGCCCTCTGCGGTTCCTTGTATAAAGCCAGTAATCTCTATTATGAAGGTCCCACCCTCAGGAGTTAAGTACATCTTTCATCCGTATAGCATTACAACGGGGGTTACAATTTTAACATAAATACAGGAGAAAAATTATTGGAACTCTCAAGATTTTTGTTTCCTTTTTTTTTTTTTTGAGACAGTTTCACTCTTGTATCCCAGGCAGGAGTGCAGTGGTGTGATCTCGGCTTGCTGGAACCTTCGCCTCCCAGGTTCAAATGATTCCCCTGCGTCAGTCTCCCAAGTAGCTGGGATTACAGGCATGCACCACCACACCTTGCTCATTTTGTACTTTTAGAAGAGACGGTGGTTTCACCATATTGTCCAGGCTGCTTTCAAACCCCTGACCTCAGGTGATCCACCCGTCTCAGCATCCCAAAGTGTTGGGATTACAGGTGTGAGCCACCGCACCCTGTCAAGATTTTTCTAAAGCTCTCATTTTTCTCCTACTGGGTTTTTCCTGTTTGCGCCCTCAATCTTTCTCTGTCTCTTTTTGTGTACACCTTTTTGTCTAATTCTCTCTCTCTATTGTATACCTCAAACACAGGAAGCAAGCTTCAATGCTATGAGATGCTCCATGTAAAGACCAACATAACAGAGCCTGAGGGGGTGCTCAGACCAGTAGAGAGAAGGAAAGTCAGGCTCTCCAGCCACACTAAACCCTGCCAATTTTCACATGAGTCAGCTTAAAGGCTCATGCTTTCCCAGTCCAGCTTCAGTTAAGACCACAGTCCCAATGTCATAAAAGACCTAAAGGCAGAGGTACCCAACTGAACTGTGTCCAGATTCTGGTCCACATAAATTATGAGATATTATATGTTGTTGAAAAGTGCTGACTTTTAGGGCAATGTTGTCAGAAAGGAGCAGATATCTAACCTCATCTCCCAGGCCCTAGGATTCTCCATCCCTCTACTTATATCTTCCTCAGGCTGTCTGCAGCCAAACTTTCTAACCTCTGCCGAACTCACACCTATGAGTCTCTTCACTAAGGGTGGCTTCTCCCTGACACATACTTGTGCAGAGATGTCTCCCTGTTGTCATCCTTATCATGGATTAAACATCACCACAATGAGGCCTTAGTTCCTCCCATGCAATAATTTTCCAGCTTTTCTTCTCAACATTCCACTTTATATTATAGTCCTTCCTCTTTTCTTTCACATATACTTGCTTTAGTGCTTTTATCCAGCTGTCCTCAGAATGTTTGGTCCTGGGTTGGGGGGTGCAGGCATCATGTAATAATTTTCTGTACCACGTTGCACCCACCTGGTTAGCTGGCAAAGGGTGAGCGCAAGGGAAAAAAGACTGGCTAAGTGATTATATGGAGGATCTCTAATATCCCTTCCTCTTTTGACCACCTGATAATGTGGAGATCATTGATAACAACATGAGATGTGTGACTCTTACTTGTTCCAGCTGCTCCAGCAAAGCTCAGTGGGCACCAGAAACAGAGCTGGCTGTAACCACCTCCAGGCCATCACTAACTCTATGGCCCAATGCAGGAGCACTATGGAACAAATCAGGTATCTTGATTTTTCTGTCCTCAAGACACTGGTTCTTCAAGGTCCTAGGGGATAAAGTAGCAGAATCTGAAGGCCCCAAGTACAATGAGTGACCTTGGAATCCCCCTTTGCCTTCTATTTGCCTCTACCTTTTGGGTTGTGCTATTTATCCATGAGATATCCTCCCCTTATCCAGTGAAATTAGTTTCTACCACTTTCAAATGAGGACCTTAAGAACCCAACAGGAGCTGGGATTTTCCGTGGACTTCAGCCTCAGAGTCCAATGCTCTGGAACATTTAGCTCCGTCTCATCTTCATCTACCCAAGATGCCTCTGAAGTGGCCATGCCTCCCTCTGATTTGAAGGACCTACAGAGAGTGGATGCATTTCTGCACAGTCTCAGAGCAAGAATCAGGGCTGGAAGACACTTATGAGTATGTGAAATCGTCGAGGTCACCCAGTTCAAACAGCCCTATTTATGAGGAAGAAAACAGGCTTTCCTGCAGGCATTCTCTACATTACGCTGAGGTGGAGCATAGCTCATTTTACTTCCAGGTGCCCTCAGAGCTGGATGCAAAACCCCAGTCCTGTCATCTTGAAATTGACATGGAGAGGTCCCCATGTGAACAGAACCCTGGATCTGCTCATTCTCTGTGCCCCTGAATGTGAAGCTACAGGCTCTAACTTCCAAAGCAAACCTGATAGGTGGGATGGAGCCAAGGCCTAGGAAGCTGGAGCTCTCTCTAATGCTCTGGAGCCTGCCCACCTCCTGAGATCTGGATCAGTCCCTGCCTCTTTTGGGGCCTCATTTTCCCAATTGTAATGTAATGAGAAATTAAATGTAAAATTGCATAAGCATATGCTCTGTGAGAATTTGGTGTCAGAGTCCTCAATACTGGATGATATATTTTGGTGGGAGGGGTTTGGGCCCCAGAGGTTCTCGGGACTCCTGACATATCCATTGCAGTAGGTGTAGAGCTCAGGAGATCCAGATCTTCTTTCCTGAGCCAGCTGATTACAATACAATGGACCACGGGCTATGATCTTAAATATGATTTCACAGGATTCCCCACCTTCAGCCACCATCTGCTCTGTGCTTCCCTTATTTTGGGGAGCTGATGACAACCTCCATTATAGTGAGAGAGTCCAAGAAACTAGACTTGTGGACCTGGAGAAAAGAAAAAAACACTTTTCTATTTCTCTCAAACTGTAGAATCTGTTGTCAAATATTTAATTTTGATTCCATCTGAGCTTGATAATACGTTCATGTGTTAAGAGCTGCTTAAATTTATTTTTTCTGTGGTGTGGGATAATGTCTTTTCCCATATTTTAAATCAACTTCTAAAAGCTCTCTTTAAAGTGGAGATGTGAACATCTTTGTGATATAAACTGCACATATTTGTTGCGAGATTGTTCTTTTTCTCTTTGTTAAAATGTTTTGTTTTATTCTGGTTTGGATGTCCTTCAGGGTTTTGTTTTGTGGCTATTTATTACTACAATGCAACTTCTCCCCTAATTGACTGACAGGTTTGTACATTCTCAATAAAATCTTTTGGTAAAGTCTTTGTAAAAACTGTGTAAACAATTTTACAGTTTTCATAAACATAAAACAGTCAAGACTGTCATGATGAAAAAGAAAGATTGAGGGCTTAAAAATTAAAATATGACACAGCTAAAGTAGTGTGCAAAGGGAAATTTATGGCACTAAATGCCCACAAGAGAAAGCAGAAAAGGTCTAAAATCGGCATCATAATATCACAATTAAAAATCTAGGGAAGCAAGAGCAAACAAATTCAAAAGCTAGCAGAAGACAAGAAATAATTAAGATCACAGCAGAACTGAAGGAGATAGACACACAAAAAGCCCGTCCAAAAAATCAACGAATCCAGGAGCTGTTTTTTTGAAAAGATCAAGAAATAAATAAACTGCTAGCCAGAGTAATAAGGAAGAAGAGAAGAATCAAATACATGCAATAGGAAATGATAAAGGGGATATAACCATTGATCCACAGAAATAAAAATTACCATTAGAGAATATTATAAAAAACTCTTTGCAAATTAACTAGAAAATCTAGACGAAATGGATAAATTCCTGGACACATATACCCTCCCAAGTCCAAACCAGTAAGAAGTCGAATGCCTGAATATGCCAATAACAAGTTCTAAAATTGAGGCAGTAACTAATAGCCTACCAACCAAAAGAAGTCCAGAACCAGAAGGATTCACAGCCGAATTCTACCAAAGGTACAAAGAGGAGCTGGTACCATTCCTTCTGAAACTATTTCAAACAATAGAAAAGAGGTACTCCTCCTTAACTCATTTTATGCATCCAGCATCATCCTGAAACCAAAACTTGGCAAAGACACACCAGAAAAAGAAAATTTCAGGCCCGTATCCCTGATGAATATCGATGCGAAAATCCTCAATAAAATACTGGCAAACCGAATCCAGCAGCACATCAAAAAGCTTATCCACCACGATCTAGTCAGCTTAATCCCTCGGATGCAAAGCTTGTTCAACATATGCAAATCAATAAATGTATTCCATCACATAAACAGAACTAATGACAAAAACCACATGATTATCTCAATAGATGCAAAAAAGGCCTTCAGCAAAATTCAACACCTCTTCATGGTAAAAACTCTCAATGAATTATGTATTCATGGAACTTATCTCAACATACTAAGAGCTATTTATGACAAACGCACAGCCAATATACTGAATGGGAAAAAACTTGAAACATTCCTTTTGAAAATCTGCACAAAACAAGAATACCCTCTCTCATCACTCCTATTCAATATAGTATTGGAAGTTCTGGCCAGAGCAATCAGTCAAGAGAAAGAAACAAAGCGTAATCAAATAGGAAGAGGAACTCAAGTTGTCTCTGTTTGCAGCTGACATGATTGTATATTTAGAAAACCCCATCGTCTCAGCCCAAAATCTCCTTAAACCAATATGCAACTTCAAAAAAGTCTCAGTATACAAAATCAGTGTTCAAAAATCACAAGAATTCCTATACACAATAATAGACAAACAGAGAGCCAAATCATGCATGAACTCTCATTCACAATTGTTACAAAGAGAATAAAATACCTAGGAATCCAACTTAAAAGGGATGGGAAGGACTTCTTCAAGGAGATCTACAAACCACTGCTCAAGGAAATAAGAGAGGACACAAACAAATGAAAAACAATCCGTGCTCATGGATAGGAAGAATCAATATTGTGAAAATGGCCATACTGCCCAAAGTAATTTATAAATTCAGTGTTATCCCCATCAAGCTCCCACTGACTTTCTTTACATAATTAGAAAAAAAACTACTTTAAATTTCATATGGAATCAAAAAAGATCCTGCATAGACAAGACAATCCTAAGCAAAAAGAACAAAAGTGGAGGCATCACACTAGCTATCTTCAAACTATACTAAAAGGCCACAGTAACCAAGACAGTATGGTACTGGTACCAAAACAGATATATTGACAAATGGAACAGAACAGAGGCCCCAGAAATAACATCAAACATCTACAACCATCTGATCTTTGATGAACCTGACAAAAACAAGTAATGGGGAAAGGATTCCTTATTTAATAAATGGTGTTGGGAAAACTAGATAGCCATATGCAAAAAAATGAAACTGGACGTCTTCCTTACTAGTTATACAAAAATTAACTGAAGATGGATTAAAGACTTAAATGTAAGACTTAAAACCATAAAAACCCCCCAAAAAACAAAGGCATTACCATTCAGGACATAGGCGTGGGCAAAGACTTCATGAATAAAACAGCAAAAACAATGGCAACAAAAGCCAAAATTGACAAACGAGATGTAATTAAAGTAAAGAGCTTCTTCACAACAAAAGAAACTATCATCAGAGTGAACAGGCAACCCACAGAAAGGAGAAAATTTATGCAATCTATCCATCTGACAATGGGCTAATATGCAGAATCTACAAAAAACTTAAGCAAATTTACAAGAAAAAAACAAACAACCATATCAAAAATGGGCAAAGGACATGAACAGACACTTCTGAAAAGAAGACATTTATGCAGCCAACAAACATATGAAAAAAAAACTCATCATCACTGGTCATTAGATAAATGCAAATCAAAAACACAGTGAGAAACCATCTCACTCCAGTTAGAATGGTGATCATTGGAAAAATCAGGAAACAACAGATGCTGGAGAGGATGTGGAGAAATAGGAACACTTTTACACTGTTGGTGAGAGTGTAAATTAGTTCAACCATTGTGGAAGACAGTATGGCAATTCCTCAAGGATCTACAATGAGAAATACCATTTGATCCAGCAATCCCATTACTGGGTATATAACCAAATGATTATAAATTATTCTACTACTTAGACACATGCAAACATATGTTTATTATGGCACTGTGCACAAGAGCAAAAACTTTGAACCAAACCAAATGCCCATCAGTGGTAGAATGAATAAAGAAAATGTGGCATGTATACATCATGGAATACAATGCAGTCATAAAAAGGATGAGTTCATGTCCTTTGCAGGGACATGGATGAAGCTGGAAACCACCATTCTCAGCAAACTAACACAAGAGTAGAAAAGCAAACATCACATGTTCTCTCTCATAGTTGGGAGTTAAACAAAGAGAACACAGGGACACAGGAAGGGGAACACCACACACTGGAGCCTGTCAGGAAGTGGGGGACTATGGGAGGGATAGCATTAGAAGATATATTCCTGGCCTAGGCCACTATTGCGATTTTCTAAATTTTGTTTCAAAAACATGATGTTTCAAAAATTGTTATTGATATGTAATTATACAAATATATAGTTCAGAAAAAAGAATCAACATTAATTATGCTTTTTCCAAAATACTTTATGGTTTTGAGCTCTTCTAGCAGTGACATTTTTGCTGTAGGTAGTTGCTCTATATCTGGTATATTCATCATAGCATCCTTTGTACCCTTTACACTTATCCTTCAATTTCCCACTCTCCTTAAGTGTAAATTTTCAAGGCCAGAGCTCCCATATCTTCCCAATATTACTTTTTGAAAAGAAGCTCCTATGTACTGTTTTGTCTGGGTCTTGTTGGATATAATGCTAAAAGAGCTGGAAAATAATAATTTTTTAAAAAATTCGGTGATGAAATTAAGGTAAATATATTTTATAAATCTAATGAACAAAATGAGGCCAGCTGAGAACACAATGATAGTTGAAGAAGAACCTGAGATCCTGTTTCTCTCAATGGATGTATGAACTTAACTGCAATTGGGTGAGCAAAGCCAGTTGAGTTTGTAGCACCCCTCATGAGAAAAAAGCCAACCATAACCACATTTAGAAGAAAGAAAATTTGGTTACATTTCTGCACTAAAGAACAGTGCAGTTAGATAAAATTCTGTCCATTCCATGATTCTCCCTCGGGAAAGAAAACAGAGTGAAACGTGTATGCAAACTTCTGACTTATTGATTTATACCTTTAACATTTAGTGTTGACCAGAATAGAGATAGAGTTTAAATGACAGCTTGGGTCGACTGAGAATAAAGATAAATATTTCTTACAACAAAGAGACTGTAGTGCCTGCAACAGTGACAAAGAGAAGAGACTAAAGGCTCCTAAGAGGAAAGAGAGGTAAACCTTATTAACAAGAAAATACATACAGTACAAAGAAGACACATTTTGACAACAGATTGGAGAAGCTCCCGGAATGACTAGTGTGGCTGAATATTGTCAATTTTCCCATGTACAAAGCTTTTTCATAAAGGATAAAATAGGTAGTGGTTTCTTAATTGACCAAAACCTTAACAAAACCACAGTACATAAAAGCAACCAGGAAATATAGCCTAATGAAACGAGAAAAATATATATTCAAGTGACCCTAAAGAAGTGGAGATCTATGAATTATTTTTTAACTTAAAATCATTTTATTTTTCTTTATTTTTTCATTTTATACACAGGATCTTACTCTATCTCCTGGGACAGATTGCAGTGGTGCAATCACAGCTCACTGTAACCTCAAATTTCTGAAGTAAAGCAGTCATGCCTCCTATGTCTCCTGAGTAAATATGACCACAGTTGGGCACACTACCACACCTGTATAGTTTCTTTAAAAGAATCTGTACAAACAGAATGTTGTTATGTTGCCTCGGCTGGTCTCAAACTCCTGGTCTCAGGCAATCCTACTGCCTCAGTCTGAAAGTGCTGGCATGAGCCACCATACCTGGAATTGTTTCTCTTTTAAGAAAAAAGGACTTTAAATCATTAATAGTAAAATAAAACAAAGAAAGGCATTGCATAACGATAGAGAGTTCAATTCAACAAGAAGACTTAACTATCCTAAATATAGATGCACCCAACTTTGGGGAACATAGAGTTATACAACAAGTACTGCTAGACCTACAATAAGACTCAAGTAGCCACGCAATAATAGTAGGGAAACGCAACTCCCCAATAACAGTGTTTGTCAGATTATCTAGGCAGAAACTTAACAAAGAAATTCTGGAGTTTGATTTCGCACTTGATCAATTGAAACTAATAGACATTTATAGTATACACCACACATCATCTAAGGAACATAAATTCTTCTCATCGCTCACAGAATATACTCTAGGATTGACCACTTCCTAGCCATAAAGCAATTATCCATACATTTTTTAAAAATGAAAATTATGCCAACCATACTGTCAGGCCACAATGGAAAAAAGATAAATATCAATACCAACAAAATCTCACAAAATCACAGAATGGCATTGAAATTAAACAACTTGCTCCTGAATGAATTTTGGGTAAACAACAAAATTGAGGCAGAAACTTAAAAAAAATTTGAAATAAATGAAGAGACACAATATACTAAAATGTCTGGGTTGTAGGAAAAGCTCTGTTAAGAGGAAAGTTGAGAGTGCTAAATATCTGCATCAAGAAGTTAGAATGATCTCAAACTAACAATTTAACATCACACTTAGAGAAACTAGAAAAACAAAAACAAACTAACCCCAAAGCTGGCAGAATGGCAAAAATATTCACAACCTATAAACCTGACAAAATCTAATACTCAGAATCTATAAGAAACTTAAAGAATTCACAAGCAAAAAATTACCCCATGAAAAAGTGGGCAATAACAGACAATGTTCAAAAGAATACATACAAGTGGCCAAACAACATGAAAAAAGCTTATCACTAACCATCAAGGAAATGTAAATAAAAACCACAGTAAGACACCATCGTACACCAGTTAGAATGGCTTTTGTTAAAAAGTAAAATGATAGTAGATATTGGTGGGGTTTTAGAGGGAAAAAACCACTTATACACTGTTTATAGGAATATAAATTAGTTCAGCCACTGTGGAGAGCAGCTTGGAGATTTTCCAAATAACTGAGAGTTGAACTATGATTCAACGCAGAATTTCACCGCTGGGTGTATACCCAGAAGAGAATAAACTATTCTACCAAAACAGCACATGCACTTGTTGGTTCATCACTGCATTATTTATAACAGGAAAGACATGAATCAACCTACGTGACTATTAATGGTATTTTTTTTTTTTTGAGATGAAGTCTCACTCTGTTGCCCAGGCTGGAGTGCAGTGGCACTATCTCAGCTCACTACAACCTCCACCTCCCAGGTTCAAGCAATTCTCCTGCCTCAGCCACCCGAGTAGCTGGGACTACAGGCTCATGACAACACGTCCGGCTAACTTTTGTATTTTCAGTAGAGACGGGGGTTTCATTATGCTGTCCAGGATGGTCTCGATCTCCTGACCTCATGATCCACTCACCTTGGCCTCCCACAGTGCTGGGATTACAGGCATCAGCCACCGTGTCCAGCCTATTAATGCTAAATTGAATTTAAAAAGTGTCACATGTACAGCAATACTACTTAGCAAAAACAACAACAACAAAAAAAAAACTTGTCCTTTGCAGCAACATTAATACAACTAAAGGTCATTCTACAATCAAATTAATGCAGAAATGGAAAACAAAAATACTGATGTTCTCACTTATAAATGGAAATTAACACTGGGTACACATGGACATAAAAATAAAAATAAAAGACAACTCTTAGAGGGTGGAGAGAGGGAGGGATCAAGAACTGAAAAACTGTCTATTTAGTACTATGCTCACTGCATAAGTGATGGAATTACTTATATTTCAAACCTCAGCACTATACAAAATACCCATGTAAAAAACCTGTGTAGGTACCTCCTAAATCTAAAACAAATTTGAAATTCTAAAAGGCGGTCTTACTCTCTCACCCAGACAGGAATACAATATCATGGTTATAACTCAATGCAGCCTCAAATTCCTGGGAACTCAAGGAATAATCTTACATCAGCCTCCAACTTCCTGAGACTACAGGAACATTCCACCATTCATGATTAATCTGTAAAAATATTTTTTACATATAGCTTCTCACAATATTGCCCAGGGTGGTCTGAAACTCCTAGCCTTAAGTAATTGATATGGTTTGGCTCTCTGTCCCCAACCAAATCTCATCTTGAATTGTAATAATCTCCACATGTCCTGGGAGGGACCCTGTGGGAGGTAATTGAATCATGGGGGTGGGATTTTCCCATGCTGTTCTCATGATAGCAAAAAAGTCTCACGTGATCTGATGGTTTTATAAGTGGAGATTCCCCTGAACAAAGTCTCTTGTTTGCTCCAATAATTGTGAGACCTCCCCAGCCATGTGAAACTGTGAGGCCATTAACCTTTTTCATTATGAATTATCCAGTCTTGGTTATGTCTTTATTAGCTGCATGAGAATTTATTAATACAGTAATCCCCTTGCCTTAGCTTTCAAAGTAGCTGGAATTAGACACACATATCAATGTGCCTGGCTAAAACACCTAGCTTAAAGATGCTCATTCAGCTAAAGAAGAACATAGAAAGCTAAACAGAAAAAGAAAACAATTCATGAAGATAATGAGATTATCAATGAAGTGATTAAAAGTACAAAATAGAAACATAAAGTGTGGAGCTGAAAAATAAAATACCTGAATTTAGAGATTCACTAGAAGGTCCAACAACTGGTTTGATCTAGCAGGAAAAAATCCAGCAAGCTTCATAAGAAGTCTTTTGAAATTATATGGTGAGGAGGGTAAAAATAATTTTAAAAATTAAGAAAGCCTAAGGGACTTATGGGATACCATTAAGATGGCCAATATACTTCTAATGGGAATTCTAAAATAAAAAGAGAGAAAAGAGAGCAGCAAAGTTATTTCAAGAAACAAACAGTGGCTGAGAACTCTCAAAATTTGAGGGAGAAAATGGCCTAAAATTTAATGAAACTTTACCAACTAGTAGCAACACAGGGAGACCCATGACAAGACACATTTTAATCAGAGATTCAAATGTTAAAACACCGAGAATCTTGAAGTCAGCAAGAAAAAATGACTTAGCATGTACAATGTTACCCCTATAGGATGACCAGCAGATGTCTCAGCCAATAGCATGCAGGCAAGAGGTTGTAGGATGACATACTCAAAGTGCTGAAAAAAATGGCAAGTACCAACCAAGAACACTATGTCTGCCAAAGCTATCATTTCAAATGAATTAAAAAATAAAAATAAAGAATATTCAAGATCAACGAAAACTGTATTAATTTATGCACGGTAGGCCTGTATAAAAAAATGCTAGTCATTGACATTAAAAAATAAAATAATGATGAGAGCAACATAGAATTATGTAAAATATAAAGTTTTCTAACAGATAATTATGTACACAATTATAATATTTTTGTTATTATAATGAAGATGCACAGAATACTTTTAATTCTGCTATGTAGTTGAGATAACAAAGACTTAAAAATGACTATATAACTGTGCCAATAGATTCACAATACAAAATGATGTAATTCGCGACATCAATAAAACACATAGGCAGCCATAAAGAGGCAGGGTTTTATATGCTATAGTAGTTATTTTTGGTAATATCTATAGTAACAACAAAGAAAATACCTATAGTACTTAGGATTTTGAGACTAGTCTGGGCAACATGGCAAAACCCTGTCTCTATGAAAAATAACAAAAATTAGCCAGGAGTACTGGTGCACATCTGTGGTCCCAGGTACTCAGAAGGCTGTGGTGGGAGGATTGTTTGAGTTGAGCCTGAGAGGCAGAGCTTGCAATAAGCAGATATTGTGCCACTGCCCTCCAGCCTGGGCGACAGAGCAAGACCCTGTCAAAAAAAAAAAAAAAAAGGAAATACCTATAGTACACACACACAAAGACATACACACAGAGAGAGTAGTGAGAAAAGAAGTAAAACATGTCACTATAAAAATCAATAATATGCTAAGAAAGAGAACAAGAGAGAAAAACAGGAAATAATAGCTACAGGACCGGCCAGGAGCGGTGGCTCACGCCTGTAATCCTAGCAATTTGGGAGGCCGAGGTGGGTGGATCAACGAGGTCAGGAGATTGAGACCATCCTGGCTAACACAGTGAAACCCTGTCTCTACTAAAAAAAATAAACAAATAAAAATAAAAATAGCCGGGCATGGTGGCGGGTGCCTGAATTCCCAGCTGCTGGGGAATCTGAGGCAGGAGAATGGCGTGAATCCGGGAGGCGGAGCTTGCAGGGAGCCAAGATTGCACCACTGCACTCCAGCCTGGGCAACAGAGCAAAACTCCGTCTCAAAAGAAAAAGCTACAGGACCTAAAACAAAAAAGAAACAAAATTAAATAGAAAGTCATAGGAAATCATTCCCTTTTAGTAATGATTTTTTATATATATAAATTATGTCAATCAAAAACATACTTTCACTAAATAAATTCATGAAACAAGATTCAACTCTCTGCTTCCTACAAATGACCACATTATGATCTGGAACACGCATAAGCCATACATGAAAGAATAAAAAAAATTAAATGCAAAATCAAATACTGTCATGGTAGACAAAATATATATTATATCAAAAACTTCCTCAAGAGAGAAGAAGAAAAGGACAATAACAACAACAACAATAAAAGCAACAAAAAACAACATATATCAATAAAAGCAACAACAATAAAACAACATGCAACAATAAAAGCAACAGTAATGTATGTGCCTTACATCACAGTTCCCAAAATATGAAGCAACATTTTACAGAATTGAAACATGAAGTAGCCAGCACATAACAGTAGATGACTTTTTTATCAGACTTTTAGTAATGTAAATTAAAAAACAAACATAAGATGAATAAGTAAACAGAGGATTTCAACAACACAATAGAACAATTAGACCTAACAGTCACATTTATATCTCTCCACTCAACAGTAGAATATGCAATACTTTTAATCACACATGCCACAATATTCCAGATAGACCACCTGTTAAGTTAAAAAACACATCTTAGCAAATTTCAGCAGATGGAATTACACAAATTATTCCTAACTATGATACAATAAAACAAGAAGTTAAAAACACTAACATGTCAAAGAATAAGTAAAAATTAAACAACAAATTCTCAAACACACTCTTGTTCAAGAGGTTATAGACTTAATATTGTTAAAATGTCACTACTACCAAAAGTGGTCTACGGATTCAATGTTCTTTCTTTTCTTTTCTTTCTTTTTCTTTTGAGACGGAGTTTTGCTCTTGTTGCCCAAGGTGGAGTGCAATGGTGTGATCTCAGTTCACTGCAGCCTCCACCTCCTGGGTTCAAGCTGTTCTCCTGCCTCAGCCTCCTGAGTAGCTGGGAATACAGGCATGTGCCACCACACCTGGCTAATTTTGTATTTTTAGTAGAGATGGGGTTTCTCCATGGCTGGTCTGGAACTCCTGACCTCAGGTGTTCCACCTTCCTCAGCCTCCCAAAGTGCTGGGATTACAGGCATGAGCCACAACCCTCAGCTGATTCAATATACTTTCTATCAAAATACCAATGAAACTTTTTGCAGAAGTTTTAAAATATTCTACAATTTTTATGGAATTTCAAGTGATCACAAACAGCCAAACAATATTGGGAAAAAAATATAAAGACAGAGGCATCATACTTTCTATTTTCTAAACATACTATGAACATATAGTAATCAAAACAGTTTGGTACTGACATAAAGACAAATGAATGATGAAACAGATGAGAGAGTCCAGACATAAGTCCTCATGGGTATAGTAAACATATTTTTAAAATGTGTTCCAAGAATCACAAAAAGGAAAGAACAGTCTCTTCAACAAACAGTATTGGGAATAATAAAAATTTACAAGGAAAAAATAACAAAGTTAGACCTTAACTTGCAACAGATAAAAACATAAACTCAAGGCTGGGTGTGGTGGCTCACACCTGTAATCCCAGCACTTTGGGTGACTGAGACAAGTGAATCACAAGGTCAGGATATCAAGACCATCCTGGCCAACATGGGGAAACAACGTCTCTACTAAAAATACAAACAAAAATTAGTTGGCGGTGGTGGCACATGCCTGCAGTTCCAGACACTCAGGAGGCTGATGCAGGAGAATCTCTGGAATCCGGGAGGCAAGAGTTTCAGTGAGCTGAGATCATGTCACTGCGCTCCAGCCTGGTGACAGAGAAAGACTCCACCACAAATAAAGAAATAAACTCAAAATAACTAATTTTTGGTAGCTATTAAAATGGAATTTATAATTTTATTTTTCAGATAGTTCGCTATCATCATACAGAAAGCTACTACTGTGTTAATTTTCTGCAATGTTACAGAATTTGTTTAGTAGTTCTAATAGTTTTTGGTGTAGTGTTTAGAGTTTTTCACATATAAGATTATTTTGTCCACAATCAGAGACCATTTGACTTCATCCTTTCAATTAGTATGACTTTTATTTCTTCCTCTTGCCTAATTTCCTTGGCTAGGACTTCCAGTACTATGTTGAATAAGAGGGCTGAAAGTTTGGACGATTTGTCTTGTTCCAGATCTCAGAGAGAAAGCTTTCAACTTTTCCTTATTCAGTATAAAGTTAGCATTGCTTTTTCATAAATGGCCTTTATTGAGTTAAGGCACATACCTTCTATTCCTAACTTGTTGAGAGTTTTCATCATAATCAAGGCTGAATTTCATCCAATTCTTCTTCTGCATATGCAAAAGCTACAAAAATGAAAATACTTAATGTGATGGCTAATACAGGGTGTCAAATTGATTGGATTGGAGGATAGAAAGCATTGATCCTGGGTGTGTCTGTGAGGGTGTTGCCAAAGGACATTAACATTTGAGTCAGTGGGCTGGGAAAGGGAGATCCACTCTTAATTGGGTGAGCACCATCTAATGAGCTGACAGTGAATATAAAGCAGGCAGAAAAACGTGAAAAAGAGAGACTGGCCTAAGCTCCCAGACTACATCTTTCTCCTGTGCTGGACACTTGCAGCCCTCAAACATCAGACTCCAAGTTCTTCAGCTTTGGGACATGGACCGCCTCTCCTTGCTCCTCAAACTTGCAGACAACCAACCTATTGTGGGATCTCATGATCTCTCTAGGGAAGCCCAACTAATACACCTAGCAACAAACTTAACTAAAAAGGTAAAAGATCTCTACTCTGAAAACGACAAAACATGGATAAAAAATATAAAATACAAATGAATAAATAAAAAATATTGTGTTTATACACTGGAAGAATACTGTTGATATAGCTACCCAAAGTGATCTACAGACTTAATGTGATTTTTATCAAAATACCAATGACATTTTTTCACAGAAATAAAAAAATTTAAATTTATATGGATCCACAAAAAACTCTGAATAGACAAAGCAACTTTGAGCAAAATAAGCAAAGCTGAAGGCATCACTTCATCAAACTTCAAAACTTGCTATAAAGCTACAGTAACCAAAACAGCACTGTACTGGCATAAAAACAAACACATAGACTAATATGCCCAATAAGCCCGGAAGTTAATTTATGCACCTAAAGCCAACAGATTGTCAACAAAATTACCAAGAACACACTTTAGAGAAAAGCTAATCTCTTTAATAAATGGTGCAGGGCCATTTAAATATTTATATTCAGAAAAATAATACTAGACCCTTGTACCTTGCCATATATGATAATCAACTAAAACTAAAGACTTAAATGTAATGCCATCAATTATGAAACTATTAGAGAAAAACATAAAAAAATGCTTTATAACATTGGACGGTGAAAGGATTATTAAAATAAGATTTCAAAACATGGGCAACAAAATCAAGAATAAACAAACAACATTATGTCAAACTAAAATGCTTTTTCATATTAAAAAAACAACTAAAAGTTTGAAGAGACAGCTTAGGCGATGACAGAAAATGTTTTCATATACATGTGACAAAAGGCTAATATTCAGAATATATAAGAAACTTTAAAATCTCAAAATAAAATACACTTATAATCTAATTTAAAAAATGCAAAAGATCTTAATAGATGTTTGTCAAAAAGAGATACAAAAATGGCTAACTGGAACACAAAAAGATGCTCTACATTACTAATCACCAAGGAAATGCAAATCCAAACTGCAATGAAGTACCACCTCATTCCCATTAGAATGGCTATAATAAAAATAAATAAATAAATAAATCAAGAACTAATGAGGATATAAAAAAGAGTGGATGTATACCTTGTTGGTGGAATTGTAAATTAGTATGGCCATTATAGAAAATAGTATGGAGGTTTCTGAAAGAAATTAAAAATATATCTATTATATGATCCAGCAATTTTACTTCTGGGTGTATATCCAAAAGAAAGGATATTACTGTGTCAAAAAGATATTTGCATTCCCATGTTCATTACAGAACTATTTATAATAGCTTATATATGGAATCAATTCAAATGTACAGCAACAGATAAATGGATAAGGAAAATGTACTATATATACACAGCGAAATACTATTCAGCCATAAGAAAGCATAAAATTCTGTCAGTTAAAAAGAGCATGGATGAACCTTGAGCATACCATGTTAAGTAAAATAAGCCACACAGAGAAACACAAATACTTTATGATCTTATTATCTCACTCATTTGAGGAACCTGAAAAAAAGGGTTGATAGAAGCAAAGAGTACAACAGGGGTTACCAGAGACTGAAGCAGGAGGATGGGAAAAGTCTGCTTCACAGGTATTGTGTTATGATTAGATAGGGGAAATAAGTTTTTGTTTTTTATTACACAGTAGAATAATAATAATTAATGAAAAGTTATCTCATATTACAAAATAGCTAAAAGAGACCAGTTTTGGTGGCATATTCTTGCAATCCATACATTTTGGGAGATTGAGGTAGGAGAATCACTTGACGTCAGAAGTTCAAGATGAGCCTGGACAACATAGTGTGACCCCGTCTGTATGAAAAATTAAAACATTAGCCAGGCATGGTGGCAGCTTCTTGTAGTCTCAGCTAATTGGGAAACTAAGGTTAGAAGACTGTTTGAAGTTACAGTGAGCTAGGATTGCACCACTGCACACCAGTCTGGGTGTTAGAGCAAGATCCTGTCTCTAAAATAATTAATACATAAAGATAAAATAAAATAGCTAGAGAAGGAGCTTTTGAATATTCTCACCACAAAAATAACAAATGCATGAGGCAACAAATATAGAAGTACTGATTTTTATTGTTATACAACACATATATATAATTGTTTCCCCAAAATATGCACAATTACATGTGTCAATTTTAAAAAATGAATGAAGACTATAATGTAAAACCTATAGCTGTAAAATTCCTAGCACAATACAGAAGGGTGAAGCTTCATTACAACTGGTCGTGGCAATAATTTGGGGGACGTAGCATCAACGGATGAGACAACAAAAGCAAGGGAATACACATGGTACTGAATCAGTGTATGAAAAATATCCCAAACAGACAAAGCAGAACATGGAATAGATATATGCACATTGTAGTATTACTCACAAACATGTTACCTGGAAGCAAATGTACCCTTAAGGATGAGTAGATTCAGCAAACAGGGCACGTACAATCACTGGGATAGCATTCAGCCTTAAAAATAAGGAAATCTTGAAAAGTACTACAATAAGGACAAATCTTCAAAACATTCTGTTAAGTAAAATAAGACAGTCAAAAAGGAAAGCTGTATAATTACACTCATGTAAAATATTTAGTCAAACTCAAAGAAACCAAGTGTCGTAGTCTCAGCAGTGCACCAAGATGTAACAGTCTCTCGTAGTCTGAGATAACATCCAGAGTTCTTTGTTCTACCTCTAAGGAGATTAAGGAGCGTGAACACAAAGGTGAGGTTGGAGTGAAAGTTTAAGAAGCAAGAGAAGAAAGCTCTTTGCCAGCAGAGATAGGTGTCTGAAAGTGGTGCCCTCTACGAGGCTGGGTCCAGGGTTTTTATGGACTGGGAAGGGAAGGATATGTGCCTAGTTCACAGGCTGTCTTGAAAAACGTGTGGCTCAGCTTGGCCCAGGCCTTTGGCCCGGGATCAATCAGGAGCTGAAGGGATGATTGATAGATGCTGCTTAGCTTGGCCCAAGACTTATCAGAAGCTAAGGTGAAAGTTTGGCCAAGGAGCTTGGCCCGGGAGCACTCAGGGGCTGAAGTAATTATTCATAGAGGTCAGACTTACAGTCCAAATAAACGAGAGTGTCGACCGGAATGCACCAGATCCCACAGTGCCCATGCCAACAAAAAGAGAAGGAACATTTTCCTGGGAGCCCACTGACTGTACAAAGACAAAAGTGCTTCTTTTTTTTCTTTTTCTTGTCTTTCTTTTTTTTGAGATGTACTTTCTTTTTTTATTTATTTTTATTTTTTTTTGCAGTTTTGCTCTTGTTGCCCAGCCTGGAGTGCAATGGTGCGATCTCGGCTCACAGAAACCTCCGCCTCCTGGGTTCTAGCGATTCTCCTGCCTCAGCCTCCCAAGTAGCTGGGATTATAGGCATGCAGCACCATGCCTGGCTAGTTTTGTATTTTTAGTAAAGACAGAGTTTGTCCATCTTGGTCATGCTGGTCTCAAACTCCCGACCTCAGATGATCCGCCCACAGCTGCCTCCGACATTGTTGGAATTACAGGCATGATCCACCGTGCCTGGCCAAACAAAGGCATTTCTATGCTAGGTCGTTCTTGTTCCTTTATCTGAGTGAGCTGGAGGTTTCTACAAGTTTTTATCCAAATGGGCCAGAGGTTTTTCTATCTGTGCAGCCACGGGCATGTCCCCAAGCACAACAACATATGCTAGTTCCCTTGTTAGTGTCTGCAGCTTGATTTTTTCCAGGCTTCTTTATATGTTATGCAGGGATGAGGCACTGACCAGGGACTTTCCAGGGACTCTTCTCTTGCTATCTACCTAAGGCAAGCTAACTAACTTCTTTCATAAGTAATGAGTATTCACTTTTACTTTTGTAAGACACAAATTATCTAAAACCTACTGCAAAACAATAGAACTATACTAACCACTTCTAAACCATATACTTAAAATGTCAGAAATGACAATGGCATGTTTTTAACTACAATTAGAAATTTAAGACTAACTAAAAGGCACAGTTAGAAAATCTTTCAAACATCACCTTCAAATAACAAAGGGTTCTTCTCACACAATTATATGGATTTAAACTATATGTTGATTGTAAATTTAAGATTATTTCCCTGATGACTCACCAAGATAGAATAAAATAATCACTGGAAACCAAGAAAAGAGGGAAATTTATAGCACTAATGTCCACATCAAAAAGATAGAAAGGGCTGGGTGTGGTGGCTCATGCCTGTAGTTCCAGCACTTTGGGAGGCTGGGGTAGGCAAATCACTTAAGGCCAGATGTTCAAGACCAGTCTGGACCACACAACAAAACCCCACCTCTACAAAAAAAATTCAAAAATTAGCTGGTTTTTGTGATGCACATCTGTAATCCCAGCTACTCAGGAAGCTGAGACAGCAGAAATCACTTAAAACTGAGAAGTGGAGGTTGCAGTGAGCGGAGATCATGCCACTGTACTCCAGCCTGGGTGACAGAGTGAGACTCTGCCACAAGAAGAAAAAAAAGAGAAACTAGAAGATCTAAAATTAACAGCCTAACATCTTGATGAAAAGAACTAGAAAACCAAGTGAAAACTAACCAGAAAGGTAGCAGAAAACAAGAAATAACCAAGATCAAAGTAGAGCTGAGGGAGATAGAGACACTGAAAACTCTTCCAAAAAAAAAAGTCAACAAATCCAGGAGCTGTTTTTATGAAAAAAATTAATAAACTAGATGGAACACTAGCTAGGCAAATAAATAAGAAAAGAAAGGAGAACCAAACACAATTAGAAATAATAAGGGAGATATCATCACTGATCCCATGGAAATATGAACAACAATCAGAGAACACTATAAACATATGTATGCACATAAACCAGAAAATCTAGAAGAAATAGACAATTTCCTTGCAAAATAAACCCTCCACAAGACTGAACCCTGAATAGATCAATAATGTGTTCTGAAACTGAGGCAGTAAAAACTAGCCTACCAAGCAAGCTGAATTTGAGCAGAGGTACAAAGAGGAGATGGTACCTTTTCTCCTAAAACCATCCAAAAAAAATTGAAGACAAAGAAGTTCTCTCTAACTCATTCTATCAGGCCAGCATCATCCAGATACCAAAACCTAACATAGATACTACAACAACAACAACAACAACAACACATCATGCCAATGTCTTTGGTAAACACTGTGCAAAAATCCTCAATAAAATACTGGCAAAACAAATCCAGCAGCACATTAAAAAGTTCATCCGCAACAATGGAGTTGGCTTTGTCCCCAGGATGCAAGGTTGATTCAACATATGCAAATCAATAAATGTGACTCATCACATAAAGAGAACTAAATACAAAAACCACATGATTATCTCAATAAATGCAGAAAAAGCATCCAATAAAATTCAGCATTCTTTCAGGTTTAAAATTCTCAATAAACTAGGAAGTGAAGAAACATACCTGAAAATAATAAGAGCCATATACAACAAACCCACAGCCAATATCATACTGAATGTGCAAAAGCTAGAAACGTTCCACCTGAAAACTGGCACAAGAAAAGAATGCCCTCTTTCACCACTACCATTCAATATAGTATCAGAAGCCTTGGCCAGGAAAATCAGGCCAGAGGAAGAAATAAAGAGTATTCTAATAGAAAGAGAGGAAGTCAAATTATCTTTGTTTGCAGATGACCTGATCCTACATCTAGAAAACCTCATTGTCTCAGGCCCAAAGCTTCTTAAGGTGATAAGCAACAGTAGCAAAATCTCAGGATATAAAATCAATGTGCAAAAGTAGCTAGCATTCCCATGCACAAACAACAGGCAAGCAGGGAGACAAATCATGAATGAACTTTCATTCACATTTGCTACAAAGAGAAAAAAATACCTAGGAATACAGCTAAGAAAGAAAGTGAAGGACCTCTTCAAGGAGAACCACAAACAACTGCTCAGAGAAATCAGAGTGGACACAAAACAGATGGAGAAATATTCCATGCTCATGGAGAGGAAGAATCAGTATCATGAATATGGGCATATGGCCCTAAGTAATTCATAGATTCAATGCTATTCCCATTGAACTACTGACATTCTTCAGAGAATTAGAAAAATAAAAACTTTTAAAGTTCATATGGAACCAAAAAAGAGCCCAAATAGCCAAGCCAACCTTAAGAAAAAAAAAAAAAAGCTGGAAGTGTCACTCTACCTAACTTCAAACTATACTAGAAGAGTACAGTAACAAAAACAGCATGGTACTGGTATAGAAACAGACACATAGACAAATGAAACAAAGTAGAGAACCTAGAAATAAAGCCAAAAACCTACAACAACCTGATCTTTGACAAAGTTAACAAAAACAAGGAATTAGGGAAAGGTGTCCCTATTCAAAAAATGGTGCTAGGAGAACTGGCTAGCCATATGCAGAGAATTTAAACTGGAACCCTTCTTAACACCATGTACAAAAATTAACTCAAGATGGATTAAAGACTTAAATGTACAACCCAAAACTATAAAACCCTTAGAAGAAAAAATCTAGATAATACCATTCAGGATATAGGCATGAGAAAAGACTTTATGACAGAAAGGCAAAAAGCTATAGCAACAAAAGCAAAAATTGACTAATGGGGTCTAATTAAACTAAAGAGCTTCTGCGGAGCCAAAGAAACTATCATCAGAGCAGACAACCTAGAGAATGGGAGAAAAATTATGCAACCTATCCATCTCACAAATGTCTAATATCCAGAATCTAGGAGGAATTTAACAAAATTTACAAGAGAAAAAAAAAAGGCCCCATTAAAAAAGGGTCAAAGAACATGAACAGACATATCTCAAAAGAGGACATACATGTGCCCAACAAACATGAAAAGCTCAACATCACTGATAACTGCATAAATACAAATCAAAACCATAATGAGATACCATCTCACACAAATTATAATGGCTATTAATAAAAAGTAAAAAAAAAAAAAACAGATGCTGGCGAGGTTGTGGAGAAAAGGGAACACTTTTACACTGTTGGTGGGAGTGTAAATTATTTCAAGCATTGAGGAAGAGAGTGTGGAGATTCCTCAAAGACCTAGAAGCAGAACTACCATTTGACCCAGCAATACCATTACACCCAAAGGAATATAAATAATTCTATTTTAAAAATACATGTATACAAATGTTCATTGCAGCACTATTTACAATAGCAACATCATGTAATCAATCTACATGCCCATCAATGATACACTGGATAAAGGAAATGTGGTACACATACACCATGGAACACTATGAAGCCATAAAATGTAATGAGATGATGTCCCTTGCAGGGACATGGTTGGAATTTGAAGCCATTACTCCCAGCAAACTAATGCAGGAACAGAAAACCAAACACCGCCTATTATTATTCTAACTTATTAGCAGAAGCAGATCAATGAGAACACATGGACACATCAGGAAGAACAACACACACTGGACACCTGTTTCATGGCATGGGGGAGGGGAAGGAGAGCATCAGGAAGAATAGCTGCGGATGCTGGGCTTGGTACCTGGGTGATGAGATGATCTGTGCAGTAAACCACAGTGGTACGCATTTATGTATGTAAGAGACCTGCATACTCTGCACATGGACCCCTAAACTTAAAATAAAAGTTGAAAAATAAACTTTATCACATATGGACCCCTGAACTTAAAATAAAACTTGAAAAAAAATGTGTTTCTGGTGGATTCTCTATGTTAGACCCAAACTGAGGATCTTGAAGCTCTCGCTGGGGGAATCGGGGATGGGGGCACACTGGGGAGCCGCTGCCAAGGCCAACCACCCTCCCTACAAGCCACCTCCCTTCCCGGCCAGTATGGAAAGGAGAAGGGGTATGTGAACAGCTGTGGAGGTCAGAATCTCGGGAACTGAATCAGGCCCCAGCCCATGCCCCCCAGCCCAGCCCTCAGGATTGTTAGATGGAACAAGGCTCCATCATCACCCAGGCATGGAGGGAAGATGCCCTGGTCCTTACCAAGCAAGGCCTGGTTTCCAAAGTCCTCTCCGAAGAGGCCTCATGTTTGCCACATCTTAAAAGTCCCCTTTCTGCTGTTCTTGCACCCAGCATGTTGGACAGTCAAGTTCCCCCGCTGAGCAATCCACACATAAGGAGGGAGTCAACACCATTGCTATGTCGGATCAGCTCCAGCGTCTCCAATATCAGTTTTATCAGATCCCAGGAACCTGCCTGCTCCCAGAGGTGACAGAGAAAAATCAAGGAAGGATCTGTATGGTCACTGACCTGGATGAAACCCTTGTGCATAGCTCCTTTAAGCCAATCAGCAATGCTGACTGCCTAGTGCCTGTAGAGCTTGAGGGGACCATGCACCAGATCCATGTGCTCATGAGGCCTTATATGGATGAGTTCCTGACATGAATGGAGGAAATGTTTAAATGTGTTTTCGTCATTGCTCTCTTCTTCCCAGCCTGAACAAGTAGGCAGATCCTGTGACGGGTGAGCTGGACGGGTATGGGATGGTCTGGGGCTGCCTGTCCCATGAGTCATGTTTGTTTCACCAGGGCTGCTATGTCAAGGACATCAGCCGTCTGGGGAGGGACCTGAGGAAAACTCATCCTGGACAACTCGCCTGCTTCTTACATCTTCCACACAGAGAATGCAGTGCCTGTGCAGTCCTGGTTTGATAACATTCCAGACAGCAGCTGCTGCACCTGATATCATTATTTGAGGAGATGAGTGGAGGAGCAGAGGGTGTCTACACTAGCCTTGGGCAGCAGTGGGCCCTTAACCTTCCCTGCTTCCCAGCAATGGCCATCACAGTAGGGGATTTTCCCACACTGTGCCTTTATGAACAGCCTGAAAGAGTGAAGGCTGGAACACCTACCCACATGGGCCTGGAAACAGTGAGAAGTGATTGAAAAGAGCTTTAGGACAGCTTAGATGCCCAGTGGGTGAATGCCAGACCAAGGATACCCAGAGCTACCTGCCATCAAGTTGTTGGGTTCCCGAGATGGGGGTGTGAGAGAAAGAAAGACAGCATGTGTGTTTTGCTATGAACTGTGGCCCCAAGTATATAGTGTTTCAGTAGAGGAGAAGCTGAAGGACAAAGACTCTTCCCAAGCTAGCTTGTCTCCTCTCCTGTCACCCTATGAGCCCCTGAGATCCATAGGGATGAAGAGTATTGAAGGCTCCGTTGCAAACCTGGTCTTTCTTCAGTGCTGCAAGGCCTATGCCAAGGAGAAAGGAAAGGTATGCCTTTGGGTGTTCCAGGCACACATCTTTCTGAAATATTTCTCCAGCCAGTTGTTGCAGACAAAAGACGACATTTCTGGGAAGATGGGGACTTATGTCCAGACGAGTACCCAAACTATCAGGTCTTCTGGCCCAAAGGCTATTTTTACTTACCTCTAGCCAAGTGCCTGGGATGGATCCTTTCTGCGTCTCACCAAGGCTCACCACTTAGCCATAGCCTCAAACCCGTGGGGAAGGAAGGTCTCCCCGCCCTGCAAGAGGACAAATAACTGATTTTTGTTCATTTGACTCTGTTTTAAAATTCTCTTTAAAAAAAAAAAAAACAAAAAAAAGAAAAAGAAAGCATATCTGAAACTTAAAAAAAAAAAACAAGGAAAAAAGATGAAAAAAATGACATACTTACATAGGTGAAAAACACATAGATATATCTATAAGCAACAAACACAGCTAATTCAAATATAAATTAAATATCACATTGTCATAATGTGTACCGAGTTAAAAAATTATCATTCAACTCATGATATCAAGCTTTAAAAGCAAAAATACAATTAACTGCTCTGAGAAAACATACCCCCCCAGAAAAGAAACACAACAACACAGAACTGAAAATAAGAAGAGAGATTTTAATGCATAAAATCCTGAATACAACATAAATATACAATGAAAAATAAGCCCTTTTTGTTTTTTTTTGAGACAGTCTCACCCTGTCGCCCAGGCTGGAGTGCAGTGGTGCCATCTCGGCTCACTGCAAGCTCCGCCTACTGGGTTCACGCCATTCTCCTGCCTCAGCCTCTCGAGTAGCTGGGAATACAGGCACCCGCCACTATGCCCGGCTAATTTTTTCTATATTTAGTAGAGACTGGGTTTCACCGTGTTAGCCAGGATGGTCTTGATCTCCTGACCTCGTGATCCACCCACCTTGGCCTCCCAAAGTGCTGGGATTACAGGCATGAGCCACCGTGCCGGGCTGAAAAATAACCCTTTAGATATCTACAGCTTTAAACTGTGTGCAGTCATGAAAAGCAGACATTAGAAGTCATTGGCATTTAATAAATTGCAGTAAAATTATACAGTAAATACATTACAATCATTAATAATAGGCTTTAATGAGAAGAATTTAATAAATAATCATTAAAAAGACAGCAGAATTTTATTCTGTTCTCAATATGTTGCTGCTCTTCTTATCAAATACTATAATAAAACTATATGACTATAATATAGATTTCAGGAGCTAAAAAAAGCCTTATATTTTCAAATAAAAGAACAATATAAATTTTGCAAAATACAATGAGCATTACTGAAGTATAAAGTAAATATTTGGAATTAAAATATATGGTCATTTAGATACAGACTAAAAAAGAATAGAAATCTTAATGATTCCTTTCTGCCTACAGTGAGCTTAAAATTACAACCAAAAATTTTAATAAATATGTAGCACCTACAAGAAATTTTATTAACAGCTTACATAATGTGTAAATTTGAGCAATTTATTTTAGAACTTTTGAATCTGAAAATCACCTGCTTGACATTCATTTGAGAAAGTGAAACATAAAGGAGAGTAACATAAGCAAGACGACAGAATGGGAGGTTCTGCATCCACATCCCCCACGACATAATGCAGCTGCCACAGCAAACATAAGTGCATTCATGAAAGCCTTGGAATCCAGTTCAGAGTTTGTGACACCCAGCTGGAGGCAAAGACCAAGGAAGACATCTTTAGAGGGTAAGCACTTGACCAAGTGGCAAGCTTGCCAATCATGGTCCTCGCTTCAAAACAGAATACTGCCACATCTTACTGTAGACTTGGCTATAACTCATTTGACCTTGGTCCTGACACTGCAACAGTCTGTGGAAAACACAAGAGAATTCATACTCACCTGAGACTTAGATGACAGGCCTGCAGAACTTGGTTCTCTCTATAGTCCCTGAATCAGGCAAAACACACCTTCTTTCCTTCTCCAGCCATGGTCTGGAAGAAATCTTCACATTGATATGATGAAATGCTAACTAACAATATGAAAAATACTAAAGTATAAATGTCACTAAAATGGTAAATACATACTGAATTTCAGAATACTATAAATTGTTATCATCTTAAACTAGACTATTAAAATACAAGATGTTTTACATAAGTCTCATGATAACCAGTAGGAAAAAAAAATAGTAAAGAAAAAGAGAAAGTAATTAAAGCATACACAAACAACAAAAATTACACATTGGATATGGTGTCTCCTGCTTATAATTCCAACACTTTGGGAGGCCAAGGTGGAAGAATGAAATCTCCTTGGGTGTTGTGGTACATGTCTGCAGTCCAAGCTACTTGGGTGGCTAAGGTGGGACGATTATTTGAGCCCAGGAGGTTAAGGCTACAGTGAGCTGTGATATGCCACTGCACTTCAGTCTGAGCAAGAAAGCATAACTTTGTCTCAACAAAAATGAACAATACCACAGGAAAGACAGAACCAGAAAAAAAAGAAGCAAACTTAAAATGGACAGAAAACTACAAATGTACAATAGTAACTGCTTACCTATCACTACCTTACAAATAAAAAGATTAAAGTATCTACTAAACAGATACTGCTGTACACTGAATGTCATCTCCAAAATTTAGGATAAAATTTAATAGCCAACATGTTAGAATTAACAGGTGGAACCTTTAAAAATTAATTAAGCTATAAGCACTCTGCCCTCATGAATGGATTAACGTTCTTATTATGGGAATGGGCTAATTATAACAAGAATGGATCTGTTATATATTAAAAAAAAAAAGCTCTCTCTCCCTCACATCTTTGTGTATGTTATTATCCAGCAACTAGACCTTCAACATATACCAGTATAATGTTGTTTTGGCTTCCCAGCCTCCAGAATCATGAGTCAAATAAAATTCTATTCTTTATTAATTACCAGTGTGTGATATTCTGTTATAGCAGCCAAAAGAGACTAAAGCAGACAGAGTGGATAAATTAATCTTTTAAACCTCATAATATGCTGCTTACAAGAGACTCAATTATGAATTAAGAGCATAGGCTAAAAGTGAAAGGATAGAAAATGATATTCCATGCAAATAATAACCAAAGGAGTGAAATGGTAATGCTTAAATTAGACAAAATAGACTTTCTAGCAATGTCTCTCACAAGAATGAAATGAGTTTACCATACAATAATAGAGGTTAATTTCTCAAGAGAATATAGCTTTATATATTTATGCACCCAAAAGGGAGGCTTCTAAATATAAAAAGCAAATATTGCCAGAACTGTAGGGAGAAGTAGAAAGAAACCCAATAATAGAAAACTTTAACGAAATGTATAATAAAGGACATATAGTTAACAGCATTGTAAATTGGCAAGGGAAAGCTGGTCTCATGTGTTGCGTTTGAGAATGCAGCAAAGAAAGTGGGAACTGATAATTTTACTGCAAGCCTGAGTTAGGATGAAAAACAGGGTGGTCGATTAGAGGTTCCACTTGCCATACATTAAAAAAACACAGGAGAAAACCAGTCCTCCTCTGGAGTGTTAAAATAATTAAAGATCAGAAAATTAGTCTAAAGTGGCTCTAGTGCCCTGTGTTCATAGGTAAAAAACAAAAAACAAACAAAAAAAAATCTAAAACCTAACTCAAATATATTTCCTATAAAACACTATCTTAGCCTGAAGCAAAATGCAGGTTTAACCCATGACAAACATGCAATTAACCTCTGAATATGTAACCAGGACATTTCCATCTGGATAGTTCAAATAAGGCTACCATATAACTGGAACCAATTCTTGAATTTGGGTTGCTTTCTCATGCATCTTATGAAAGCCTTTCCTTTATGCCCCTCTGGTGGACCAGAAATCATGGCTGGGTGCTTTCCATTTCACCAATCACTCTTTGTTCAGATAAACTGATGAACCTTTTAACATAGACTCCCGTTAATTTTTAACACGAGAGACTGTGGACCCCACGGGCCGCAGCTCCTCCCACGCAAACACCCACTCGCGGTTTTTCCCTGATGACCCATCTGGCCTCCCTGAACAATTTGGGAAATACTCATGGCTGTGGGCGCAGAGCAGGGCGCTGCCCAGGGACAGGACCGGATGGGCCGGACGGGACGTGGGGGTCCTCGCTGCTGGCCCAGCGGCCATCTTGCAGCCACAGGGGACTGAGGGCCAAGCTGCGGGAGACTCGGAGCTAACCGTGGGGAGGCCGGTCCTGCCGGTTTCACAGTCTGTTCTCCCCTCTCGGGATGGCGAACCCCGTATACTCACCATTTCCCAGCTTCCAGGATGTCCTGGCACCTTAACTATGCGTCCCCAAGGACCTACAGATCGCAGGGCAACAGGGGCTGTGACAGAGTAGCCCAGGGCTCTCAAGGTGCAGGAGGCGAAAGAGGAGACAGATCCCAAGCTCCTGTGCCAGCACCAGCGAGAGACACAGATCCCGCCAAATGCAGGAAGCCACGCCCTCCTTTCCTCTCCTCTGCCACCGCGCGCCTGATTGGGCGGTTCCCACATCAGTGTCAATGACTGGATAAAACTCCAGGACGCACCCACCCCCGCCTGACTCCTGCCCTTACCCCCACTCCCCCTCAGACTTAGTGCACTTTTGTTAGTTTGTTTTTAAGTTCTGGAATACATGTGCAGAACGTGCAGGTTTGTTACATAGTTTTACATGTGCCATGGTGGTTTGCTGCACCTATCAACCTGCCATCTAGGTTTTAAGCCCCATATGCATTAGGTATTTGTCCTAATTTTCTCCCTCCCCTTGACCTCAACCCCTTAACAGGCCTTAGTGTGTGATCTTTGGCTCCAGGTGTCCATGTGTTCTCATTTTTCAACTCCCACATATGAGTGAGAACATATGGTGTTTGCTTTCCTGTTCCCGTGTTAGTTTGCTGAGGTTAATGGTTCCCAGCTTCATCCACGTCCCTGCAAAGGACATGAACTCATTCTTTTTATGGCTGCATATTATTTCATGGTGTATATGTGCCACATTTTCTTTTTCCAATCTATCAATGATGGGCATTAGGGTTGGTTCCAAGTCTTTGCTATTGCAAACAGTGGTGCAATAGACATATGAGTGCATGTGTCTTTATGCTAGAATGATTTATATTCCTTTGGGTATATACCCAGTAATGAGATTGCTGGATCAAATGGTATTTCTGGTTCTAGATCCTTGAGGAATCACCACACTGTCTTCCATAATGGTTGAACTAATTTACACTCCCTCCAGCAGTGTAAAAGTGTTTCTATTCCTCCACAGCCTCACCAGCATCTGTTGTTTCCTAACTTTTTAATAACTGCCATTCAACATGGTGTGAGAAGGTATCCCATTGTGGTTTTGATTTGCATTTCTCTAGTCTCCAGTGATGATGAGCTTTTCTCTTTTTTGTGTTTGTTGACCACATAAAGGTCCCCTTCTTCTTCTTCTTCTTCTTCTTCTTCTTCTTCTTCTTCTTCTTCTTCTTCTTCTTCTTCTTCTTCTTCTTTTCTTCTTCTTCTTCTTCTTCTTCTTCTTCTTCTTCTTCTCCTTCTCCTTCTTCTTTTTCTATTTATTTTACTTATTATTATTATTTTTAAGATGGAGTCTTGCTCTGTCACCCAGGCTGGAGTGCAGTGGAAGGATCTCGGCTCACTGCAACATCTGCCACCCAGGTTCAAGTGATTCTCCTGCCTTAGCCTCCCCAGAAGCTGGGATTACAGGTCACCCGCCAACACATCCTACTAATTTTTTGTGTTTTTAGTAGAAATGCGGTGTCGCCATGCGGCCCAGGCTGGTCTTGAACACCTGACCTCATGATCCACCTGCCTCCACGGCTGAAAGTGCTGGGATTACAGACTTGATCAACCGCGCCCAGCCAAATATCTTCTTTTGAAAAGAGTCTGTTTATATTCTGTGCCCACTTTTTGATGGTTTTTTTTGGTGTGTGTGTGAATTTGTTTAAGTTCTTTGTAGATTCTGGATATTAGACCTCTGACACATGGATAGAGTGCAAAAATTTTCTTTCACTCTGTAGGTTGCCTGGTCACTCTGGTGATAGCTTCTTTTGCTGTGCAGAAGCTCGTTAGTTTAGTTAGATCTCATTTGTCAATTTTAGCTTTTGTTGTGATTGCTTTTGGTATTTTATTCATGAAGTCTTTGCTCATGCCTATGTCCTGAATGGTATTGCCTAGGTTTTCTTCTAGGGTTTTTATGGTTTGGTGTTTTACATTTAAGACTTTAATCCATCTTAAGATAATGTTTGCATAAGGTGTAAGGAAGGGGTACAATTTCTGTTTTCTGAATGTGGCTAGCCAGTTCTTTCAGCACCATTTGGTAAGTAGGAAATCTTTCCCCATTGCTTGTTTTTGTCAGGTTTGTCGGAGATCAGATGGTTGTAGATGTGTGATGTTATTTCTGAGGCCTCTGTTCTGTTCCATTTGTCTATATATCTGTTTTGGTATCAGTACTGTGCTGTTTTGGTTACTGTAGCCTTGTAGTATAGTTTGAAGTCGGGTAGCAGGATGCCTCAAGCTTTGTTGTTTTTGCTTAGGATTGTTTTGGGTTGACAGGCAAACAGGCTCCTATATTTGGGGTCACGTGCCCAGAGTATCACAGCTAATTCAGACGTGAGCTGAGACTTGAAATGCACGTGCTCTTTCCCTTACCTGGGTCTGTTGTATAATGCATCTTAGCAGCTATGTAACAGTACGAATTAGAATATTTAGACATCTTTTTAGCAACTTTTTAACCTGCATTTTTGTAACGCGGTAAAGACCTTCATCCCATCCCTGAGCCCCTCTCTCACAACACTGCACCCCACTGCTGACCACACTGTTGTGTGACCATTAGGAATCAGGGGGGCAGCGGGGGCTGGAAATAAATAAGAAAGGATTATGTTTCCCAAATTTGCTCACCTTAGAAAGTCTCCTCAACCATTCTGTGTGAGGTGATTTTTCCAAGGTAATTGTGCCCTGACTGCGCTGGATGTCAGTGTGTCTTGTCTTTTTGAAAATCACTGGATTACTCTCATGAACGGGGTATTTCTCTTTCTATTTGAAAATGGTCAACTGTCCTCTGCAGGTGTCCTGACTTGCTAGTTTAGACCCTGAAGGTAGCGGTGAGAAAATATTTGGGCCACATCAGAATACCTATTCTCAGCTGGAGGATATATAGAAATTTCTTAATAATATCTAACCATTTTCTCAATAACCATTATATTTAACATTGATAGCTTGGAGGGCAGGGAAGGACACAGATGACACAATCTTCAAAGTTTAATTTAGTTATAAGGTTTTTTTTTTGTTCTTGCTTAGTTTTGCTTAGTTTTTGGATACAAGGTCTTGCTCTGGTGCCCAGGCTGGAGGGCAGTGGCATAATGATAACTCATAATTTGGTTGTAACGGTTCTTTAAAATATATTTTTGCTGAGAGTGCTAGCTCATACCTGTAATCTAAACACTTTGGGTGGCCAAGGTGGGATGATCGCTTGATCCCAGGAGTTCAAGACGAGTCTGAGCAACATAAGTAGGCTCAGTCTCTAGAAAAATATTTAAAAATTGTCTGGGTGTAGCTTTGCATGCCTGTAGTCCCAGCTACTTGAGAGGCTGATTTGAAAGCATCACTGGAGCCTAAGAATTTGAAGATGCAGTGACCCATGATTCAGCCACTGCATTGACAGAGTGAGATATGTGTGTGTCTGTCTGTGTGTGTGTATAAAGAATTTGTATGTGAAAAAAATTCAAGCACAGGAGAAAAGTGAAAGCCCATGGTGGGGGATGTGGAGAAAGGTCACTGTGGCTCCAGCAACTCAGTGAGACTTGGTTTTCCATCTTGAAGAATTGCCCATCCACACTGACACCATAGCCTAACATATGCCAGTTCTCACACTACACCTGCTGGGATACCAGTATGTAGCCTTTTGAAAAAAATAAAATCTTTCACCTAAGAGAAGGACAAGAGAAAACGAGGGTTTCACATCTAAAGCCTTCATTTTCTTTATGAATCAACAGCCACTTGTCATTTCAATTGTCCAGAGGCGACTGACAGCACTAATACACTTAATGAATCAACCAGGAAAAATGGGCCTCTCAGGTGAGGAGGAGGCACAATCGTCACAAAACCCAATCCGTTCTCAGCTTTGCATGGTGCTCGCATCTCAAGAAGTGGTGTTAGCCATGTGAACCGTGTTCACTGGACAAGGCCAGAGGAAAGAATATGTAGTACAACACAACTATGGGGCTGCAAATCAAACTGGTAGTGAGAGCATGCATGAGGCTTCAGTGGCCGAGACACTGGTGGCTACCCTTCGGTGTCACTTAAATCTTTGAGGTGAAGGACATCTTTTTCCCAACTGGCTCAGAGAAACTAATCAACATTAAAATTGAGATTTGTTTTTCTTTTCAAAATTTCTAAGACATAGAGGACTCTCTAACACTCCAAAAGACATTCAGCTATACATGCAGCTGAGGACCTGCCTGCTCTGTAGAGGGATGGCAGAGCAGCAGCCACCAGCTTTAGTAGCTTTAAGCTCCTCTTCTCATAGGAACAGGCCACCCCCACACAACCCCCCTAACTTCATAGGCTCTGGCTGTCAGGTGCACCTGGGGGACTGTCTTCCTCCCATCTCATTAGCTCTCGAAGACAGTTCAGCTCAATGTAAAACCTACCTTAGGATGGTGAGTTGTAGGCTCTCCTCTATTCTCCCAGCGCAGTGTGACTTCTGGAGAGTGCTTCTCCATCCTCTTACCTCAGATGATGTGAAAAGAGCCGGTTCCCGGGCAGTTAGATGTTCAGTGACATAACAGGCCCAGCATGCGCAGGGCCTGGCCCCACAACCTGGCACCTCTCCCTTACCTGGCCTTCAGGCTGGACTTTTCTCTTCTGCCACAAATGTCAGGTGATGATCACCTCTGCCACACTCTCATGAGCTTGGTAAGTATCAGGGGTGTAAACCCCAACAGATTTCCTGTGACTCTACCCTCTTACCACCCACTCAAGTGACATTATAAGCATAATTTTACATTTGATATTATTTATGCGTAATTTTTTTTATAACATTTCTGACAACAGCCCACACAACGAAATGAGTCTGGGTTACAGAACACACGGGCGAGGCTGGGGTAGCAGGCTTCAATTACTTTATTCCAATGTGAAATGAAGATTGATGATTTAAAAACAAGACAAAGTTGTTTATCAGCTGTGGGGTGGCTACACTTGCTAGCTCATGCTCACTTTCTTTGAAACAAGGTATCTGTACAGACCATACTCATAAGTAGCTCTTCACAAAACCCCAGACAGAAGTCCCAGTCAGACACAGCTCCCTCAGGCTCACAGGGCAGCAACCTCCTCCTCCATGTTAGGCTCTGACAGCAGGCAAGGGAAGAAGCACAGGCAGCAGGGGACAGGGAGATGTCCCGGACTGTAGGGATCCCCAAATGCCCCAGAGCTATTATCTGTAGAAGGGTGCACGCAGGTCTCACTCTGACAGTGCAGTGGCTGAATCATGGGTCACTGCAGCCTCAAACTCTTAGCCTCCAGTGATGCTTTCACCTCAGCCTCTCAAGTAGCTGTATGGCAAAAAGCCTCCTATTTTTTTACTTAAAACCTGGACTTCAAGCCAGGTTGGACCTGGGGATAGTGGCAGCAAAAGCAGCAGCCAAATGTATACACTCCAGATGTCTACACTCATGGGCACAGGCATATTCCACTCTTGCTGGAGCACGAGAGGCCTGAGAGGCACCTGTTTCCCAGTTGCTAACTGATGCCCACACACCCCATTCACGTGTCTTCATTTAGGTCTCTGCATCGTGTATTCCCTCAGCCAGTGCAAACACATCTTCTGGGGGGCATCATTAATTGCAGCACCTGCCCCTCTTGTTCTGGGAGGGAGTCAAGAGGAATCTGGTCAGCTCCTAATCCCCCAGGACAAAGGTGCTGCCCCCTTTTCAGCACTCACATCCAGCAATGCCATCTCTGGATGGGTTTTTCAAACACAAGTAGCATGAGGTAGCAAGCATGGTGTGACAGGCTCAGGGCCATGGGCAGCCGGTTGCTGGAGAAGCAGCACAGGGCAGGCACATCTGTGGGTGGCACCATGACAAGCCAAGGCAGCCACAGCCCCTAATCCCAACAGCTCCAGCCCAGTTGGCATTCAAATCTTCCCAGATAGTATTGGGGTACGCGATGCCCATCACTCGCCCGCTCATTAGCACGGCCTTGTTGGTTACTCAGAGACTAAGGAGAGAGAGTGGGGGATGTAGATCCAGGGTGGGCACCGCCTTGCAGCCAGAGTCCACCTGACTGCAGGCCAGCAAGCAAGCCCAAGCAGCTCAGCTCTAGTCACCTCTGGCTGTACTTTATGTGTATACTTTACACAAAGGTAGCAAACAGAGGTCAACATTAGCTGTTGTGACATGAAAGTCTATGCCTCATTAAGACCTTAAAATGCTGTTGTCTTAAGCTCTCTTTATTCCACTAAAATTTATACAAATAAACACATGCAAGCTGAAACTACTATAAAGGAAATATTAGGATTTTTTAAACCCATAAACAGACATGAAAACAGTCACTGTTTGATTGCAGAGAAAGTGAGCTTCTAAAGCAGCTGACCACAAAACAGCCTCACCAAACCCCAGGCAGGCCAGGCAGTCTGAACACTACAAGGCCACGTGATGGTCACAGAGGATGACAGCTCCCGTGAGTATTGCAAGGCACTGTGTTAGCTTCTCACTCACAGTCTCAGAATACCCTGTGAGGGGAGGCCCCGTCTCACTAGAGCACAGGAGGTTCCTGAGCTCTTCCCAGAAAATGGTCATCAAACGATGGAGCAGAGGGAAGCCCAGACAGAACAAGCGAGTCCCTAGGGTCTCCTTAACCTCCCTCAGCTCCTCCACATGGGTCCCTGAGGGAAAGTGAGCAGCCTCCTAACCCCCTTGATAGGGTTCCAGTCCTGCAGGTCGGACTCTCTCATTTTATGCTACCATAGGGGGTGACAATGCAACCCCAGGCCCCTTATTTGCCATCCCTCAATGCCAGGCCAGGCCCAGAGCCCTTTGCTAACACAGCCCAGGGGATGCTCAAGGCCCACCTCGGCACAGTCACCTGTAGTGTACTGAGATGAGCAAGGAGGTGCAAGTAGACACAAATCCCCATGGGCTTGGCCTCAGCCATGTTCCACAGGCTCAGGGCCTCGCAGATGAGCTCACAGCCCTCCTTCAGGAAGCCTGCAGATCACACCCTCAGGGAGCAGTGCTCAGATGAGCAGGCAGGCCCCACATCCCCCACCCCATGACGCTCTGTTCCACTTTGCAGGCTTCTGCATTGGCCAGTCCCCACTGCTTTCTGGTGAGATGTCCGAGTTGAAGTGAATGTTGAAGGCCACACAGCTGATGGAGCTCACTGCCTTGCACATGTTGTAAATCACCTCCTGGCTTCAAGGGTCAGCTGTGGAGACACAGCTTGATGGGAGGTAGGCCCACTCCACCATCAGTGGTGCTGGGTTGCCCTGATCTGCACCTTCCAGATACTTGCTAAGATATCTGCATGCTTCTCTAAGGGACTGGGTCACGAGACACCCCTGGCAAGGACCAGCTGGCAGAACAGGCTGGACACTCTCCCTCAGCCTCCCCAGCAGCCCCACCTGTGCTGTCATCTGTGCTGATGATCTCCGTGGTAAGATTATGGGAAACTTTTACAGCAAGTTTTCCTTTCTCACTTCCCTATCTTAATAACAGCACTGATAACTTTTAAGCCCTAGCAAGCTGAAACTGCAAGACACATGATCTTCTGCCTTAGAAGGGCCATGTTTGGGCAGTGGGTGCCCAGGTGAGAGCCCCATGGTTGTTAGTGGCAGCCGGGAGCTGGATGGGCCTGCCCCATAGCCTAGTGAAAAGTGGGACCCTCTCCTTCCAGAGCATGGAAGTCTCAGAGGCTGGAAAAAGGTGCCTAAGTGGCCTGCCAAAAAGCATAAGGCTAGAAGGCCTGGAAAGAGCCCCAACAGCCTTCAAGCTGCCTGAGAGGGCTGGGCTCATTCCAGCTTTCTTTGCTTTCATCCTGTTAGCAAGAAAACCTGCTCACAGATGGCAGGCGGGCCTGAGGCTGCCATTCCCTCATCAGGGGCTATAGGCACCTTTAATGTGGCTCTTTCTTGAAGCAGCTGCTCAGGCCGGTTCTCGAAGAGCAGTTCCCTCATTATCCACAGGTCCTTCTTCCAGCCCCGTGTCTGCAGAGGGACTAGGGAGGGAGACAAGGGCTCAGCCTGTGCCCCACAACCTGCTTTGAGACATCTCTTTTGTTACTTCCTCACAGACAGCCTGAAACTTCCAAATGAACAGACCAGAATGGAGCCTCCAGGAAAGTGTACAGAATTCTGTCTAGTACCCAGAAGGAAGGGGGTTCCCAGTGAAGGCAGGGCCAGGCTGCATGCACCTCTTCAAAAATGTTCTCCTCATAGTCCACGCTCAAGGTGTACATCCTCTGTGTGCTTGCAGTCCATGGCAGCCTCTGCCTTGGGAACAGTCCAGCTGCACACCTGCAATATGGTGGTGACCCTCTTGAATGGATGGTTCTGGGCCCCATTGCAGACAGCAGATAGGGAGATGCTCAGCCCATCAAGCCCAGAGCCCTGCCACAGGCTTCTGTGAGGCCTCCACCTGCTCTGGGTTCTTGCCCTGAGAGGCTGCCCTGAAGTCAAACAGAAGCAGGTGGGACTCTCTTCCACAGCTGCTCTCTCTCCCACTGACAGCTCCCTAGAGGGTAACTCAGACAGAGAAGATAGAATTCTCAGGCAGAAGGACAGGAGTTTCGGCTGCCGATTCATTCCATACCCCCACATGACATGACACAAGGCAGGGGCTGTGGGACAAAGGCATTGCCTTTCCTTCTGGCAAGAGGAATGCCTTAGGAAGCAGGTCTGGTGGGGCTAGGGTTGAGCGATAGGCTTCAGGCCACAAGGAGTGGATGGACACTGAGCAAGTATCCTGGTTATCTGTCCACAGATCCAGAACAAGTGGCATCCCAGGAGCCTGGGAGGGGCTGGCAGAGACTTACTGTGTCCAGCAAAAGCCCCATGTGGATGCGGTAATGCTGCCTGCTGGTCCTTGTCTGTAATTACAAACAGGTACATGAGGTCCCCATGGATCTTGCAGCTCTCAGGGAGTGGGTTCCAGCTGCTCATGTTAGGCACTTTTAGTCACTGAACGTGCTTCAGGAATGGCCAAGTTTGATTAAGCCAGGCGTCTTGCTGTGAGACCCTCCACCCAACTGAGGACCCTCTTCCTTGTCCCCCCTGACAGTTTACCTTCCAGTTCTGGTTCTGGAGACACGATGGCCCTTCTTGGGCCCCTGGGAGAATGTGCTCAGATGACACACAGTCGACAGGGCCCATTTCCAAGCCATTCTTCCATTTCCCACTGTTTGAGGGGCCGAGGCCGGTGATCAGCACAGGGCCACCCAGGGCCAGCTGTCTGCACCTAAACGTCATGTTGGTCTGGATGTCTCAGGGCCAGAACTCTCCAGGTAAGATGGCCTGGTCCTCAGCACCTGGCCTCCATGCTCCTTTTTCCTCTGTTCAATCCTGGCCCCAATGCCTCCCGCAACTCTCAGGTCACCATTGGAGAAGATGCTCAGGAAGAACAAGGAGCTGCAGTCAACCCTGCTGAAGGTGGCATATGGGTCCAGGCTCTTGAGCTGGTCTTCGACATGGTACATGTGGATGCAGGCTTTGAGCAGTGTGAGTAGCTCTTTCCGGAAGGAGGGGAAAACGGTGTTACCAGGGTCCTACACCCTAGAACGACCCATCTAGCACAGAAAACAGTTTGCAACGTGCTATTATGTGTGATTTTAATTTTGGGCTTTAGGCTTTCATTTCCAAATTCCACAATAAACACATAAGGTGGGGTTCTGATTTCACACACACACACACACACACACACACACACACACACACACACATTCTCTCTCTCTTCCTCTCTCTTAGAATCTTCCAGTGAATTCACACTGAAAGCCGAAGTCCTCCCAGAATCTTGTGAGAACCTAAATGATCTGAATAGTTTGTCATTGCTTTTAGGGATCTGGGAAAATCTCTGCACATTTCTGGAGACCGCTGTTATGCCATTTTTAATAAATCTGTTGTGCTTCAATTCAGAAGTGTGTGAGGGGAGTTGTGGAGGAATTGGCATTTGGGTTAGAAATTCCAGGAACAACAGAGACAGATGACACCTGTTTTCTGCTTCATAATGTCAAGTTTTATGAAGGCTAAAACCTAATTCTACAAAAAAAATTAGACTGAAAAACTTTATAGGCAAAAATTATCTTATTAAATAGGAAAATCTAATTATTTTATTTTAAAATTTTCTTTTCCTTAGTAGGACCTAATCATAGAAATTTAAACACTGTATGCCAACAGCCTCTACTGTAGGATGGTTTATTGTAAGTACTCATTTTACAGATTTCTTACAAAAACTTTTTCCGTAAGAGAAATTAGAATATTGTTCAACATATATTGAATTCACAATTATTACCTTATTTCTCACTTATTATTTTATGATTCTGTTTTCTTTAATATGAAGATTACTATGACTGTGTTTTCACTTTCTGAATTATCATGTGTCACATTTTTCTGTAATTTCAGTTTGAGAAGTTGTAAAACAGCATGCTCAAATGTATATGTTATGTATCAATTATATAATTAATTATTAAAATATTTGGCTTGTATGTTTAATTGACTCTAGGCACAATATTACTATTAGCATTTTCTTCCAGTTTTCCCAACTTTTATTTGACTAATAGTACAATTTATTTCCAGTTTTTATTTTATCTGTCAATGTTTTATACTGTATTTACAATATTTATATTGTTACCATATGTAAAAATGTAAGACCTTTCTATTAAAGGCTAGATTACAGCCTTACCCTTTTGTGTAAGGAAAGAAGCAATGCATCAGTAGCATAATTTAAAACTTTCTCTAGTATTACTTAAATTTTTATTCCTTAAAACTTTCTCATCACATCTCTTTTTAATAATTATAATATGGTTTCTTTGAAATGTTGTTGCCCTAATTGTATCCAAGTAATTCAAAATTTATACTTTTTATGGATTCAAAGGAAGAGTTGAAAATTGTAGTTACCTAGGATTCTTTTTCAGTTGGACACTATGTTTATTCAGGATTTTATAGATCAAAGTTTCTCTTAATTATGTTTTAGAATTTATGTTTCTGTATTTTTTAGAGTAGGCTGTCTCACAGCAGTTAATTGTGTTTTTACTTTCTACCTATTTATTATGATTTTGAATTACATTATTCAAGTAAGAATTCGGGGAAGGTTTCTTTTAAGTTTGTTTTGCAATTTTGCATTTCTGTGTTTCATGTTTTAGGGTAGGGCACCTTACATCAGTTTATTGTTTTTAGTTTGAATTTATATAATATAATTTTCTATGACAATATTCAAATCTGTACAGCTTAAGACAGTGTGAGGCAAAAAATATGAAGCATCCCTATGGTCTTTTGTTAATATAATGATTTAATTGTTTGTTTGCTTGTATAAATATTGCCCCTATTTTGTTTATGACTTGTGTATTTTCTTCTTGTTTGATGGACAATAATTGATTCTGTCTAAGTGAGTAATCATGGAAATTGTCTTAATTTCAACATCTATTGTTTATATTATCCTAGTGTGAAAGAAAGACTTATGCGATTTGAAGATAATTTTTCAAAAACTTTGTAACTCTCTCTCTTCAGGTGTCTTTACTTATTTATTTTTTGACAGACTCTCACCCTGTCGCCAAAGTGCAGTGGCACAATCTTGGCTCACTGCAACCTCCACCTCCCAGGTTAAAGCAATTCTCCAGCTGCTGCCTCTTGAGTAGCTGGCATTAAAAGTGTGCACTACCACGCCTGGTTAATTTTTGTGTTTTTCATAGAGCTGGGGTTTCACCATGTTGGCCAGGCTGGTCTTGAACTCATGGCCTCAAGTAATCTGCATGCCTCAGCCTCCCAGAGTGCTGAGATTACAGGCATGAGCCATCTCTCTTGGCCCTTGGGTGTCATTTTTAATTTCGATTGTGGTAAAAATACATAACATAAAATTTAGAATCTTTAATATTTTTTCTTATACAGTTCAGTCATGTTAATGTATTTACATTGCTTTGCAACATATTTGTAAAACTTTTTTCTTTTGCAAAACTGAAACTCAGGACACATGAAATGACAACTACCCATTTTCCTTACAACCTGGCTCCTGATAAAAATCATTCTATTTTCTGTTTCTAAGTTTCAATACTTTAGATATTACATATAAGTAGAATCATAGAGTATCTGTTTTATTGTGACTAATTTTACTTAGCATCATGTTCTCAAGATTTCTCTTTATTGTGGATGGTACAAGATTTTCTGCCTTTAAAAGCTGAGTAATATTCCATTACTTTTGTATTACAAATTATATTTATTTATTCATTCTATGAGGAAAGTTTGTGTTGCTTTCACCTATTGGCCTTTGTGAATAATGCTGCAATGAATATTGGTATGCAAATAGCTATTTGCTCATATGTATGAGGTTTACATGTGTGCTACCTTCTGTTTTATTGGAAAAATTGTCTGTCTTTATGCTAGAAACAAACTGTTTTCATTGCTGTTGCTTTGTAATGTGCTTTGAAATCAGAAAATTGAGGCCGCTAACATTGTTTTTTTTTAAAACATTTTTGGGCTCTTTATGGTCGCTTGAGATTCCATATAATTTGTTGGTTCCTTTTTCTATTTCAAAAACATTGCTAATTTAAAAGGGATTGCATTGAATCTGTAACTCGCTTTAGGCATCATGAGCATTCTTCATAATATCAAGTCTTACAACCCTTAAACATGAGCATGCTCAAAAGTGAGTTGTTTAATTTCCATATATATGTTGCTATTTTTGTTTTCTTCTGTTATTCATTTCTAGTTTTATTCCATTTTGATCAGAAATAATAGTCACTGAAAGGCTAAACCACTCTGGGAAGTGACCCCCATTATAGAACATTACAAAGAGATGTGAGGGCACCACTTCTGCCCTGATGGGCTAGAGGGATGTGTTCTCTGAGATGACACGTTGCAGACAAATGCAGGGAACAATATAACCCCCTTTTCATGTAAACTCTTCCTTATTTTTCTAGAGTATTAGTGATAGTGGTGGCTTTGAAGTCTTGGGGAAGGTCTGGCAGTGCCGTGAACCTGCCTGCTACAGGTGATACCAGGGGGGAAAAATTAAAACCATACAAACTGTAGAAACATGAATAAATACAGCCTAGTGTAAAGTAAAAACAACACAAAGGCCTTCTCTGATATTTCTACAAGAATGTAAAAAGGGACTTTACACTTAACCAAGCTGCCTTTGGGACTAGTTAAGGCTAGATTTTTGGGAGGCACATCTTTGGGTCACTCATGGAAATCCCCTAAGAGAGAGCCCAGAGAAATTCCATATTTGGGTCTGGATCCTGGGCCCATCCTGGTTTTGTCAGACCCCTGTCTGTAGAGACCCCCATGTGCCTGCTCTCACCGTAACTCACTGTATGCCATGCTTGGGGGTGTGGTGAACCTGCCAGTTGTCCAAGGAGATGGGGGACTTGAACCCATCAAATATCTGCTCAATGATTTTAATGAAACTCTACAGAGAGTGTTCCCAGCAGTGAAGCAGGAAAAAAAAAAAAAGAAAAAAGAAAAAAAATTAATTATCTCCTTTGTTTTTACCACCAGGTGACATCTCCATTAGAAATTCTGTTTCCTAGATCAGGAACATAGGAGTATCTGCATAGACCCCCAGCCAATGAGGAAACCCGAGGACAGCTTAAGGCCTTGGGATTCACATCTGAGTAGACACACTTGGTCCACAATGCTCAACTTTTTATTCCACCAGCCATGACCTGGGTATGAACATGACATAGCCGCCAGGGTTCCAATGCCTTACAGCCTGCCCCTGTGAGAAAGAGCCCCCTCCTTTCCTGCTCCCCCTGCAACACATGGTAATGGTAGACAGGGTCGGGTTGCCCAGATTAGATGACACGGGTGGCCTGGCATGGACGGACCTGACCTGGGCTTCACTGTGTTACCTCTGTTTGCCTCTTGTTGAATGGCCAGTGGTATCAAGGATGTGGGCTGAGCCAATATGTATATGGTCAGAAAAGTCTCTCACTTTGAACCTTTCTCAGGCAACAGCTTAGGAATATAGCACACAATGAGAACACAGTACTCTCTCAAGCATCTCCCATGAAATTAGCTAGATAGAGGGCTCTCTCTAGAATGTGGGTTTCTGTTTCCCAAAGTTCTAAATTCTGTTAGGTTCTGTCACAAGGGAAGTCTGTTAACTTCTTCAAGGTTTTATCCCCTGAGCCCTTTTCCTCCATAAATCTATGCAAAGTCCCTACTGGGCTGCTGATTGCTCACCCTCATCTCCCATGTCAACTCTTTTCCTGTAAACAGTTATGCAAACACAATTATGCCTCTTACTCCCCAAAAAGATCTAAATACAGCCAGGGCCCCAGGTTTGAGAGAACAGAGTTGGATTAAAATCTTCTTTTCCTTTTCATTTCTGTGACCATATGAAAATGACTGTGTGCTTCAGTTCTCCCCAGCCCTGAAGTATGCATAATGGGATTAGGCTAGCATCAACTTCCAGAAAGAGTCATTGGCGATATATGAGATAGAATGAATCAAAATCAGTTGGATGTAGTTGCTCTTGCCTGTAATCTTAGCAGATTGGTAGACCAAGATGGGTGGAACACTTAAGGCCAGGGGTTTGAAACCAGCCATGGCCAGCATGGCAAAAACCCTTCTCCACTAAAAATGCAAAAATTAGCCAGATGTGTTGATGCTTGCCTGTAATCCCAGCCACTCAGGAGGCTGAGGTGTAAGAATCACCTGAGCCAAGGAAGCAGAGATTACATTGAGCCTTGATCATGCCTCTGCACTCCAGCCTGGGTGACATAGCGAGACTGTGTCTCAAAAAAATATATATACTATGTATATATAATTTATATTTATATATTATATATAATATATAAACTTATACATATACACCTTTATGTATAAAAGATATATATTTCATATATCTGTATACATAAAAGATATATATTTTATATATATGGCCTTATTTTTCCATTCTACAGCAGAAGAGGTTGAAATCAAAAGAAAATCAGATACTGTATTCTGGCATTAAATATTCCAGTGCTGTGCATTATATTTGGAATCACATGTATATGCTTCATCTCAGCCTATGTGGTGGGCACCCCCAACAAAGTCTCACAACAACACTAAGTTGTGAGTGACTCTGTTATTTAAAAACGCAGCTCACCGCTCAGTGCCTCAGAAGCCGGTACTATAACACCGGGTTTCCAACAAAGACATTGGATTCCAGCTGAAGCCTCTTTCCCTGTGCTTACTTAAAGGTAGTAATATTCTCAGAAAGGTTTAAGAGGTGGCTTCTTGTTTAGCAGGGAATTGCTGAAAGGAAAAATGTATGGAAAGTCACTGGGCATGAACAGCCATCTTTTCCTGCTACACACAGGTCATGTGCAAATTTGGGGACAGTTAGTACAAAACATGTGATGGAAATTTGGGCTCTTACATCAGTGAGCTTATTTCACACAGACTCCAGTTGACCATATTGGTTCCAACCAATTTTAGCCACTTTTTAGAAGTCTCATAAGTGGAATAAATTTCATTCTTTCAACAAGTTCTATCTTTTCTTATCTGTCATTCTGCAAACTGAAGAATTTCTGCTAGTCGTTGGTTGAACTCTTTGGGGACCTGGTTCTAGTTTCTGTCAAAGAGAATACAACAAATGTGATAGGTTATCACTTCTGACTTAGTTCAGGCTTCTATACCAAAAAACATAGACTAGGCAACTTATAAACAAAAGACTTTAGTTCTGGAGGCTAGAAATTTGAGATTGGCTTCCAGCATGGTTGTGGTCTGGTAAGGACTCTCTTCTGAGTTTCGAACTCCAGACTTCAGGTTGTATTCTCATTTAGCAGAGAGAAGGACAGACAGCCTTCTGCGGTTTCTTTTACAAAGCCAGTAATCTCTACCACGAGGGCCTCATGCTTAGGACTTAATTACCTCTGACCTGCTAAGGCCATTAAACTGGGGATTAATGTTCTGGAATGTGAATATGGTGGGGAATCACATAGTCTACTGCAACTTCCAAAGTTATATTTCCAAAACAGCTATTATTTTCCTCCCACTTGCTCTGTCCTGTGTTTCGTCTCTCAATCTCTCTGTCTCCCTTTCTCTTTTTCTGTGCATATGTCTGTCTATCTCTTTCATTTTCCATCTCTCTATTGTATTCTTCAAGATGAGGAAGCGATCTCCAGTGTCCTAAGATGCTCTAGGCACAGACCCACATGATAGAGAACTGAGGAACTGCCCAGGCCAATCAACAGGAAGAAACTGGTGTTCTCAGTTCACACTGAATCCTGCCAATTTCCATGAGGCAGATTGGAGGCTGATCTCTCCCCAAATCCAGCTTCAGTTGAAATCACAGCCCCAGCCTCATAGGGGACCTTGAGGCAGAGGCACCCAACTAAGCTATATCGAGATTCTGATTCACAAAAATTGTGAGATAGTATTTGTTGTCAAAATGTGATAAAATTCAGGGCAATGTTGTCAGAGAGCGGCAAATGACTAATCTCCTCTTTCAGGCCCCAGGATACACCCTCCCCTCTTTTCCTTTCTTTCTCAGGCTGCCTACAGCCACACTTGTCCCTTTATAACCTCCTCTGCTAAACTGACTTGTGCCTCTGAGTCTTTTCACAAAGAGTGGCTTTTCCCTGACACACTTTCCACACCTGCGCAGTTGTCATTCTCGTCACAACATAATGTCACCTCAGGGAGGCATTCATGTCTCCTCCAGGCAACCTCTCCCCAGCCCTCCCTCCCAACATTCTACTTTATTTCCATTATAAAATGCTCTTTTCTTTCGCATGTACTTGCTTTAGTGTTTTTGTCCTGCCGTCCTCAGACTGTAGGCTCCCCGCGGGGATGCAGGGATAACATAATCGTTTTTGGTACCACATGGTGAACCTACCAAGGTAGCTGCCACAGGGTGAGTGCTAGGGGAAGAGTCGCTGAGTAAAATAACATGGAAAATCACAAAGTCCTTCCTGCTTTCGGTCACCCAATAATGTGGAGATCAAGAATGATAACAGGAGCTGCAGGCCCTCAGCCTGTCTCTCCCACGGCTCCAGCTACTCCAGTCAAGTCCAGCGGGCACAAGAAACACGGGGTCTGCAGCCACCTAGAGACCTCCGCTAGCACTGTAGTCCCAGGCAGAAGCATCACAAAACAGGTACCTGCACTGGGGAATTCTCAAGGCAGTGGCTCTTCAGGGACCCCTGGGAAAAGGAGCAGTATCTGAAGGCTCCAAGGGCCATAAAAGTGACCTCGGAAGCCTCCCTTGATTCCTATTTTCCTCAGCCTCTTTGTGTGTGCTGTGCACTCATTAAACATTTTAACAGCATTCGGCGACATTATTTTCTTCCACTTCCGAATGAGGACCTCAAGGACAGCCCAAAAAACTAGTATTTTTTCTGGGCCCCACACTCCAGAGCCCAGTGCATTGTCACATTGTGCTTTATTCCAAGTCCTCATCCGCCCAAGTCTCTAGGCCTCTCTCTTCTCTGAAGGACCTCTAGAAACTGAAAAGCCTCTTCCCAGAGTCTCAAAGCACAGTGATTTACCAATGAAAAGCCAAGGGCGGCAGACACCTATGAGTATCTAGAATCCTTGGTATTATTCCTTCTCAGTACCCCTATTTATGAGGGAGAAAACAAAGGCTTTCTTTCCCGTAGCCTGTCTTTATATCACACGGGGTGGTGGGTGGAGGGCATAGCTCATTTTAGTTCCAGGTGCCCACAGAAGTGGGAGTCACAACCCCAGTCCTGTCCTCTTGAAACAGCTGGGAAAGTCCCCAGGCTTGGAAGAACCCAGGGAACCTGGAGGATCCTTCATCGCATGCTGTCAGCTCCTGGTCATGTAGCTGGGGGAGTGGATGCCTCTGCCTCATGGCAAAGCTGCATCTACTGTTTCTTCCCCTTTTGTCACTTCTTTGGTTTCCTCTTCCCTAACCTCACTTTAGAATCTCCACTTTAGATCTCCAATTTAGAAGCCTGTGTGTGTGTGTGTGTGTGTGTGATGTGTTTGTGTGTGCATGCCTGCACGCCTATGTGACAACATTGAAGAGTAGAAAGCCCAGGTAGAAAGTAGAGCACAGGGTTTTCCAGGACTCATGGGCTCTCATTTCCAAAGCAAACCTGATGGGTGGGGTGCATGCAAGGCCTAGGAAGCTGGATCCCTCCCTAATACTCTGTGCTTTGCCCAATTTGTGGGATCTGGACCAGTCTTTGCCTTTTTGGGAGGTCTCAGTCTTCCTGTTGTAAAATAAAGAGTTGGCTACAAAACTGTATGAGCACATGCTCAGTGAAGACAGGGTGTCATGCTCAATACCACAGAGAATATTGGGATGGGGAAAGTTTGGGCAGACTTAGGTGTCCATGCGTGCTCAGGCCTCTGAACAGGGCCAGTGCAGGCAAACATAAAGCACAGCACAGCCAGGTTTTCTTTCCAGGGCTACAGGATGAAACAGTGCACCACAGGATCTGCTCTTGAGGTCGGTCCCGCAAGATTTTCCCACCTTCAACCAGCAACTGTTTGATGAATTTCATGTCCTGTGAAGCCCATATCCACCCCCATTACAGTGAGGGGCACAGGGCACTAGACCTGTAAAATAATGTCTTTTGCCTTTTTTTCTTTTCTTTTCTTTTTCTTTTTTTTTTTTTAACTGAGTGGATGTTTCTTCTTTCTCTTTATCTGTTTTGTTTGTTTTTTAACTAATTTTTAAGAGGTCTTTACAGGTCAGCTGTGGTGCCTCGCACCTGTAATTTCAACACTTTGGGAGGATGAGGCAGGTGGATTATTTGAGGTCAGGAGTTCAAAACCAGCCTGGCGAACCTGGTGAAAATCCGTCTCTACTAAACTTACAAAAAAATTAGCGGGGAATGGTGGCCCAAGCCTGTAGCCCCAGCTACTCAGGAGGCTGAGACAGAAGAATTGCTGAAACTTGGGAGGCGGAGGTTGCAGTGAGCCGAGATTGCACGACTGCACTCCAGACTGGGTGACAGAGTGAGTCTCTGTAAAAAAAAAAAAAAAAAGAGAGAGAGAGAGGGAGAGAGAGAGTGCTCTTCATGGAAACATGAGCCCCTTTGTAATTTCATGTGTTGAAAATATTTATTCCAATTTTGCAATTTCTTTTCTTATTGTGGTGTTCTCTTTAAGTTTGGTTTAGATGTTATTAGTGTTTCTCCCCAAATTGATTTATTGATTTCCATTTTCACAATACAATATTTTGGCAGAAATCTTGTGGAAACTGTCTAATCAGTTTAAAAATTTAAATACATATTAAAAAATCAAAGAACTGTAAAAACTGTCCTGAAGAATGACAAAGTTTGTGAGCTTACAATGCCATATATTCAGACTTAGATTAAAGCTATAGTAATAAAAGCTATCTATGGTAGTAATGCAAAAATAGGCACAAAGAAAACTAGAAAAACTCGAGAGTCCAACTCAGACTCACACATTTAGACATTTTGTATATTACAAAACAGGCACAGAAGAGCAGTGGAGAGAAGACAGCATCTCGGTAATTAGCCTTGGGTCATCTGGTTATTTATGTGAGAAAGAAATAAACCTATCTTATATTGTTAACAAATTTCGAGACAAGTGGATTTTAAATTTTAAGGTGAAAATTGAAAACAATATTTCTAGTAGATAACATAGATAAGTATGTCCATGACTTTGGCACAGGCCAAGATTTCTTGGGACACAAAATGCATAAATTATCAAGACAAAAATATGACAAATTGGACTTTATTAGAATTAAAACCTTCTCTTCATAAAAAAAAAAGCTTCAGGAGAGCTGAAAGGCAAGAACAAAGTGGAAATCAACATTTGTCATATATTGATCTGGCAAAAGCTTTTTATCTAGATTATTAAGCTAAATCCCATCACTTAATAAACAAAGATGCATACATTGAACAAAATTGGCAAAGATATGACTAGGAGTTCCACATACAGAACCGAAGGGCCAACAAGTAGATGAACATATCCACATTCTTATGCATCAGAACAATGCATATGAAAACTACAATTGAATACCACTATGCAATCATTAACATTTTTGAAAACTGACAAAATTAAGTATTAGTGATGATGTCAAGCAACTGGAACTTTCTTATACCATTCTGTGTGCAAACTGTTATAACCACATTCAAAACCACTTGAGTAGTAACTCCTTACATACACGATGTACATAAGCACACTCTAGAACCCAGCAACTCTGCTACTAGGTATATACACCCAATAGAATTGCCAGCATATTTTCCAATGTAGTAAAGTGCTCGAAGTAGCATTATTTGGTACTTTTCCAAACTGAAAAAAACTCAAATGTGCATCAATAATAAAATAAATAACTAAAACAGCTACATATTCCTTTATAAGGGGACATTATACAGATATAAAATTAATTGGAGACATATTAAAATATACAAAAATCTAACAAATACAATTTAATTAGATTTAAAAGTCCTATCCAGAGCAATCGGCCAATAAAAAAGAAAAAGGCATACAAATAGAAAAAGAAATTGAATTCTCTTTCTCCATTTGCAATATGAGTCACTACGTAGAGAATGCTAAAGCCTCTCCAAAACTACTTTTGGGGAAAACTTGAAAAGCCTCCTGAAACGGATAAGCAAGTAAAGTTTTAGGACACAAAACCAATGTACAAAAATAAGCAGCATTTCTATGCATCAACAACTTTGAATTCCTGAACATCTTCTGGTTTTATTGCATTTTCAATTTTTTCCCTCCATTAACTATACATTTTTTCTTTTTTCAGCTAAACTAATTTATTCTTCTGTATAATTTCACCTTGTTAATAAACCCCAGGCCAAAAAGTGGGAATAAAGTATTTGTCTGCATCCTGTTTCCTCATTTTGAAAACTAGTCTAGACGAAACCTATACTTGTTCTAGGGAGTTGGCATAGACAGCATTTATTTCCGTTCTCAGCAGTGATGCCAGCCAGAAAGAGGGAGTTCCCCATTTTCACTTTGGTTAGACAGGACTCTGGATGGTTGAAGGGGAAAAGTTTCAGACTCTAAGGGAGCCAAATAGGATATTACAAAGATTTATGCATTTACTCCGGGAGCAATTATTGTGTTAAATTTTGTGCAAAACACTGCGCAAACAGCAATTAAAGTGAAAATTATTAAGGCATTACCTTTACCTTGGGAAACTCACACTAGTCAGATTCTCCGAACCCCAGAACATAACAACAACCTAGTAAAATCTTGTTCAGAGTGAAGAGAGGGTGGGAGCAGGAAGGTAAGGTTAAAAATTAGGCTGGGTGAATGAGATAATTACCCCTAGTCAAGCAGTGGAAGTATGGATGGCTTTGGGATGGGTGAAGACAAAAGAATCTCAGCAGAGGGTGCAGATAAAAAAAGGCAGAAACACAGGAGGCTTATGCAGGAAGAGGAATGAGTTTGCTGGACTGGGGAGAGTGACAGTAAAAAGCAGAGGATAATAGGCATCTCTGGTCATCTAGGGACTATAGGGTGGATTAGTTGGGGGTTACAGAATCAGTGAGGTACTTTTTAACAGTAGGATGGGTAAATAAGAGCTATAATTTGGAATAATTATGTAGCAATGGTGGTTAGGAGCAATAGAAACTCAAAGTATTACATAAATATGTTTTTTTCTTATTCTCCCACACAAGCCTTTCACCTTCCCTCTTAAACTGAGAACGGAGTGGTTTGCTATGATGTTTTTAAATTCTCACAGGCAAGCATTACTCTGTGCTGCCTTTTAATAAAGGCTAATTTTAACCAAATTAAAGAAGATTGAATGGATTTTCTTGATCATAATGGTTGAGTACAACATCTCTTACCTTCTACTAGTTTTCAGTATAACTGAAGTAACAGAATGTCAATACTCCATGGAGGGGTGTTCCTCTTGCTAAGGCTCCCTCCTCTGGGCTAGGCCTTCTACACCATGGCTGTCCTGCTGTGGCTGGAGCTGGAATTTGGATTGACCTCTGTGTGTCTTCCTAGCACACAATAGGTGTCCAATTAGCATGGGCAGAATCAAGCTCCTCCCTCTCACCATTTATTTCTCCATTTGTCCCTTGTTGGGAATGGAGAGTCCTGCCACTGAGTTCAGCCCAGGGTTGAAGTTCAAATCTCAGCTGATACTTGGTGGATGTTGACTTTTTTGAGAAGAACTTGGGAGAATAAAACATTATAAAGGCGCTGGCCAGGCACGGTGTCTCATGCCTGTATTCCTGGCATATTGATTGGCTGAGGAGATAGAATTGCTTGAGGCCAGGAATTTGATACCAGCCTTGTCAACATAGTGAGACCCCATTTATACAAAAAACTTGAAGCATTAAAAACATTTAGCCTGGTGTGATAGTTCCAAACTGTTGTCTCAGCTATGCTGGACATTGAGGCAGAGGATCACTTGAGCCAGGAGTTCTAGGCTACAGGGAGCTATGATCGTGCTGCTGCACTCCAACCAGGGCAACTATGCAAGATGTTTCAAAAATAAAATCTTTTATTATTCTTCACCCCTATAGTCTCTCCAGAACTTGTGCACTATGTAGCAGAAAGAATCAAACTCCCCAAGAGTTTGGTTCTTGCTTATGATTTGGTTTTCTGCTGCTTGGCTGCCCCCTCATTTCCCCATTTTGTATAAATAAGAACCCCCAGGTGAAGTGGAGTTTCTCCCCAGCAGAGGGTCTCACCAAGGCCCCAGGACTGGCACTTTAGGTGGAGGCTTGCCTTTCAACCTCTGAATAATAATTGATACTAAAATTGAGAAGTTTTCCAGACACCAGCTTCCTGAAAGGAGCACCCAGTCGAGACAAGATGAGGTCAGTAGCGAAGGTGACCCAGGCTGAGTGGGCCGTACATTCCTCTACTTTTCCCAAACTTCCCTCTGACATCCTACAAACTTTCTGTCTTCCCAGGACTTTCTTGCCAGGGAGTCTAATGAAGTAAAAGCTTTAAAATTGCTTTGATTTTAAAAATAATTTTATTGGTTCTTAAAATGTACTGTTAAATATTACTGTTTTTCTTCCCCCAGGGGCTACGTGAACATAAGCTCGGTTTTCACACTAGCAGCATTTAGAAATGTCTCTTCTGGAGGAACACTGATGCTCTCAATCACACGTGGTAATTCTCTCCTCCAGGCACAAAATGCAGTCTCAGCATCTCTGTATCAGGAGTCACTGTCTAAGTCTCTCCAGAGAAATAAGCTACCCAGGCCATCCAGCTGCTGGTGAGTTGCTTTGTGGTCATGAACTGGGTAGATTTCCTCATCTCATGCTCATTGGCCACATTCAGGATTAATGATTCAATGCTTTTGTTGTTCCAGAAGCTGTGGTCAGTGGCTATGCAGGAGTCAGTCTTTCAGTGCTGATCTTTGCTGAGAAAATAATAGTATTGTTCAAACAGTATATAGGATTTGCACTCAATATTTAATAATTTAGTGACAAAAATCTCTTAAATATACATTATACTGATATAAAATAAGTTACTCATCTATTATCAAATTTACTCTTTTATTTAATATAACTCTTGGGATAACATTTTCTTTTATGCTTCCATAAATATGCTTCACATGGATATATCACATATTGTGTATAATTTCACACAGTGTTAATATAGTTTCCATCTATTTAGATGTTTGCACATTTATTTTATCTCAATGTTTGTTCTCAGGAAGAGTGTTTTTCTTTATAAACTAAATTTTCAGCAAATTTTAAATGCATTTCACTGACGTAATTATACTTACATTGTATTTGTGTATTAAGTTACATTTTGTCCTTAAACCTGAAAATAACTTTTCAAATATATGTAATTTTAAATTTACATGTTTTTCCCTCAGAACTTTGAAAACCATAACCTATTGGATTCTTGATCTTATTCACATATTGAGAAATATGTTTCTTTTCATTGCTTTATAATTAATTTGAATTTTATCTTAGATAGCTTTACGTGATTTTCTCTATTATGGTATTATGCTTTTAACTATTGTTTTTCTTTTGATCAGAATGCCTTTAAGCTATTATAATTAATTATTTTAATAATTATATATTTTTATTCCCTATTTGACATTCACTCCATTTTATTTATTCGAACTTGCACTTAAACAACATGACTTATTTTAGATTTTTATGTATTTTAATTTTTCATATTGTTTATTTGTTTTATCCCTATTGGGACTTCTAAATATTCACTTCATCATATCTTCTAATTCATAATTTCTTTTTCAATTATGTAATTTTTCTATGCATTCTATCCTTTAAATTTAAAATTTTTACCTAATTATTTTGATAATATAACTTATTTTGATCTTACTTTTAAACTTTTCCTCTAATATATTTAAACATTATAACTACTTATATTATTTCTACAGTATATATACAATTTTGGGATTTTTTAAGATGTAATGGTACAGCTGTGTTTTTCTTATAATTTTGTTTCTTAATAACTTTGATCTTGATGACTTTTACTTTGTATATTTTAAAAAGAATAGTAGACTTCATTTTATTATAAATGACTGACCTCAATTGATGGGGCCATTGAAGATTCTGGGTCGAGGTATTTTATTCCAGTGAAAAGTTATCTGTAATGTTAATAATGCACCCTTTACAGACACCTGAAAATGATTAAGTCTATATATTTACCTAAATTGTCCTGAGTAAAACACATAGTGTACATATAAACCAGAAACTCATATGATGATTGGTGTTAATTTCCAAATCAACCAAAGAGGAGAAATACCACCTCCACTAACTAACCTATTTTTCTAAACTTTTGAAAATTTAAGGATTCTAGCTTTAGATAGCATAGTCAGATCCAAGTACTCCTGCATCTATGCTGCTGTGACATTATATTCACCAATCAGACACGTTAAATTCTAACAACCTGTGCTTCCATTATTAGCAATTCCCACAGGTAGCATCAACTTCCAGCCTAATTTTTATTCTACAGCTGTGCTTCTTCATTCTTTCCTGAAAAATTATTTGTGGAGGTACATGCCTTTGAAGTTTCTCAGCATATATTGTTATTTGAGGTTGAAAAGATAAGATTATCTAAATTTTTGCCAGAAACTCTCATACCCACATTATATCTTTGAAAGCATTGGTTATCACACTGCTGCTGACATGTGCATGTAGGAGAAGCATGTAAATGTCAGCGCTTTGCAGTCTCTAAGGGGCTGAAATAAACAATACCGGAAATCTTGGCCACTGAGGCTCACATGTAGATTTTCATTCCCAGTCCAGGCATCTAGATTCAGGGGCACCTTCCTGAGGGCCTTTTGGTTGAGGCCTTCTTCAGAAACTTTTGTTCAGATCCCTGTTTCTGGAGAAGAAATGGAACTTTGATAATAATTTTTATAGATTCCTATTAATATTCAATTCTCTTTAATCTTGCTCATACATTCTCCTCTACGCTCTCCTGCCCCCTTTTCCACAAAATTGCGGGCCTGTTTTTTATGAGGGTGCCACCTCGGCAGTGAGACAGTGCCCCATATTTGTGCTGATCCATCTGACCCTTTCCTGGTGCTTTTCCATGAGGAAAAAATGGAACAATGAGGAGTCGGTGCTTGATCTAATGTTGCCTGTTGTTTAACACAATCACAGAAAGGAAGACAAAAAGGCATAACTATTTCTTTGATGTGGGCCTCTTGCTTTAATTTAAAACTCTGATATTAAGCAGGTTAGCTCTTCCCAGCTCAGCTCAGCTCTTGAAATTTCATGGAAGAAATTCTGTTTTTATTGGTCTAAATTTTGTGTCTTTTATATAGAAAAAAGGTAATAAAATTGCATCTTATATTTAAAAATTGAATGCCTTCTGTTTTGCCATTTTACTGAAGAGAAAATTTGTGTAGCCTATTGGCATTATTAACAGTGAAGCTCCAAGTACTAATATTCAGAAAAAATAATGAATCAAAATCCAACTATTTCTCAGTACCATTTTCTTTTTTATAAACTTTCTATTTTATTGTCTGTAATTTAAAAACTTCTGTGGAAAAGAGTTTAAAATTTTCAAAGTTAATACAAAATTATTTTTAGAGTTTCTTTTTGCATAATGTTTGTCGTAAGTAGCTAATATTAATAAATTGTAATCATCAATTCTTATCTAAGCTGCACGTTAAAAAATATGTTAATATTTGCTGCTGCCTAAAATATAATACATATTTACATAATCTAATTTACTAAAAATAGTAATAAACACATATAAATAATCAACATACACAGGTCATTTTTTCTATTTCTTACTTATATTTTATGTTTCATATTTGTATCAGCACACTTTATGTCCTAGTATCATATATGGAAACGTGCCTATTTTGCATATTGTTATATTAAATAATAAGACATATGCTTAGCTTCCCCTAGGTTAAATTTTTTACATAATTGTTATTAACGTAAATAATCCAGAAATTAAAGTTTTTAAAAAAATTTCCAGTGCCCTCACTGTGCATAATATAATTCTATTTTTTAAAGTGTTAGTGCTGTTTGCATTATATAAAAGAATATTTTAGTGTATCAACTAACTACATACCTGAAAGCATGGCTTACTTTTTCATTAGTATATACTTTTGGTTGTACTCGGCTATTTTTCTAAAAGTGCTTGCAAATCAGTTCCAGGCCACAGGGCTTTGTCTTCAACAAAATAAGAATATCTCAGAGACCCACAGAAATAACTGTACCAAGTACTCCTATAAACAGGCTTCTGATAGAATGACTTACATAACTTTGAAACACTATCAGTGGACTAAGTTATTTCTCTAATTCTAGCAGAGAAGCATATGTGCTTACAAGATAGAGTAAAACAAGTATGAATAAAACAGGACTAAATGAACTGACAAAGAATGATAATAGGTTTTGTTTGGAATGTGAACATAAAACATTCCTGCTATTATTTCCTTGGTATCTAAACATGAGCTAATGGGAGCCGTTGTTACATGTTGTACACCCTTAAGAAGGTTTACAGTTTTTCGTCTCACCTATATTCGTAGTTGTCTTTATTTGTGGTTTAGAATCTCAGCTCTTTTCATAGCTGCCTGGCACTCATCTTGTATGAGCTCCTTTGTGTTTCTGAAGCCTCTGGCATACACCGAGGGTGTGGGTTTGCCTGGAATGTAGCATCAACCTGTAGAGAACAGGATTTTCCATGACCCAGTCATTGAATAAACTTGATATCTGCTTCTGCTGTTGAGAAAACATTATTTCTCCTTCAGGAATATCCACCCTCTTCATCAAGAACATCGTGTCATTCTTCAGGGTCACAGAATGCTCTACAGCCTACTTCCTGGTGTCCACCAAGGAGGAGATTAGTTGCATCTGAATTCAAGGAAGATTCGAGAGGGCTCACAGCTGCAGAATTCCAATCACTCTCAGTCTGACTGTGCTGATTTTAGAAAGACACATGGGGATCTGCCACAAGGAAGGCACTTTGCAGGGAGGCCTCAACCCCATGGCACACCCCTTCAGGAGGGCTCTTCTCCTTGTAACAGTCACTTAGCCACTTGTAGAAAGGCAACTCTTAGAAAATTTAAATGGGGACCAAAATACTAACCCTAACCAGTTTATTATCTCAAAGAATTGGAAAAACAAAGTTTTCGAATACTACGGGATTAGAAGAGTAAACAAGATATGCCTTTTCTTTGGAGCTACATATATGTATTAAAAATGGGATGTACAAAGAATTTTTTATCACATGGAGAAGTGCTTATGAGATGATATAACATTAAACAAATTAATGAAAGGCACACATTAAAAAGTATAACCAAACTTATACATTAGAGCTCAAAATTTAAAATGTGTAGAAAAATGATTGAGAGGAAATATGCCGAATTATAGGAATTGATGTGTTTCTTATAGGAAGCAGGATCCTGTGAGAAATTAAATTGCTTTATTGATTCTCTTGTAATTTTATAGTTTCCAAAAGTTCTACAGAGAGTGTAATGTAGGACCTTAGTCAGGAATAAACATCTCTTTAAATAAGCAGCAGAGAATTTCAAAGGAAGTGTGTGGTATGGGTTTATGTGTTTCTTTCAAGATCTAATATTTTCCACGTAGTGCTTCAGAAAAGATAAGGTAATTTCAACAACTTAACCCCATCATCAAGAGGGTGTTACTTAAGTACATTATGGGAGGTCATAGATAAACAACCAGTCAGCCTCTAAGCATCAGAAAATCTGTGATGTCCATTGGCCTGTGAGATGGTCTGCATTTCTTTGAAGGAAAAAAGCAGGTTTTAAAACACTAGAACCGAATCAAATCCAAATTTGAATAGAAAGATTAGAAAGGCTTATGCATGGGAAAAAGATTCAGGGTATTCAACGGTTAATTCTGACTATTTCTGAGTAATTTAAATTTACCTATAATTTAAAAAAAAAATTAAGGTCAGGTGTGTTGACTCAAACCTGTAATCCCAGCATTTTGGGAGGCCGAGGTGGGTGAATCACTTGAGACCAGGAGTTTGCGACCAGTATGGGCACCATGGCAAAACCTCATATCTACTAAAAACACAAAAAATAGCCAATTGGTGGTGTGTGCTTGTAGTCCCAGCTACTTGGGAGGCTGACGCATGAGAATCGCTTGAACCTAGGGGGTGGAGGTTGCAATAACCCAAGATCTCACCACTGCACTCCAGTCTGGGTGACAGAGCAAGACCTTGTTTCAAAAAAAATTTTTTTTGTATTTTAATTAGGAATCAAATAAGATAATTAAATGTAAACTTACACTTAATTTACTTTTTAAGCATTTTAAGAATTGGTATTCTAATTTTGTGTCGGTACATTTTAAGAATCAATAAAATTATTTTTAAAATCAAAGCAATTTTAAAGCTTTTACTTCATTAGACTCCCTGGCAAGAAAGCCCTGGGAAGATAGAAAGTTTGGAGGATGTCAGAGGGAAGTTTGGGAAAAGTAGAGGAATATATGGAGGGCAGAAGGAGTGAACATTAGGGAAACCCTCCCCTAGCTCAGTCTTCAGATACGCTGGTGGACTTCCCCACTCAGCCTGAGTCACCTTCGCTACTGACCTCATCTTGTCTTCTGACTGGATGCTCCTTTCAGGAAGCTGGTGTCTGGAAAACTTCTCAATTTTAGTATCAATTATTATTCAGAGGCTGAAAGGCAAGCCTCCACCTAAAGTGCCAGTCTTGGGGCCTTGGTGAGACCCTCTGCTGGGGAGAAACTCCACTTCACTGGGGGGTTCTTATTTTATACAAAATGGGGACATGACGGGGCAGCCAAGCAGCAGAAAACCAAATCATGAGCAAGAACCAAACTCTTGGGGAGTTTGATTCTTTCTGCTACATAGTGCACAAGTTCTGGAGAGACTATAGGGGTGAAGAATAATAAAAGATTTTATTTTTGAATCATCTTGCGTGGTTGCCTGTTTGGAGTGCAGTAGCGTGATCATAGTTCACCGCAGCCTAGAACTCCTGGCTCAAGTGATCCTCTGCCTCAATATCCAGCATAGCTGAGACAACAGTTTGGAACTATCACACCTGGCTAAATGTTTTTAATGCTTCAAGTTTTTTGTATAAATGGGGTCTCACTATGTTGACAAGGCTGGTATCAAATTCCTGGCCTCAAGCAATTCTATCTCCTCAGCCAATCAATATGCCAGGAATACAGGCATGAGACACCGTGCCTGGCCAGCGCCTTTATAATGTTTTATTCTCCCAAGTTCTTCTCAAAAAAGTCAACATCCACCAAGTATCAGCTGAGATTTGAACTTCAACCCTGGGCTGAACTCAGTGGCAGGACTCTCCATTCCCAACAAGGGACAAATGGAGAAATAAATGGTGAGAGGGAGGAGCTTGATTCTGCCCATGCTAATTGGACACCTATTGTGTGCTAGGAAGACACACAGAGGTCAATCCAAATTCCAGCTCCAGCCACAGCAGGACAGCCATGGTGTAGAAGGCCTAGCCCAGAGGAGGGAGCCTTAGCAAGCGGAACACCCCTCCATGGAGTATTGACACTCTGTTATTTCAGTTATACTGAAAACTAGTAGAAGGTATGAGATATTGCACTCAACCCTTATGAGCAAGAAAATCCATTCAATCTTCTTTAATTTGGTTAAAACTAACCTTTACTAAAAGGCAGCAAACAATAATGCTTGTCTGTGAGAATTTAAAAACATCATAGCAAACCACTCCGTTCTCAGTTTAAGAGGAAAGGCAAAACGCTTGTGTGGGAGAATAAGAAAAAAAATATTTATGTAATACTTTGAGTTTCTATTGCTCCTAACCACCATTGCTACATAATTATTCCAAATTATAGCTCTTATTTACCCATCCTACTGTTAAAAAGTACCTCACTGATTCTGTAACCCCCAACTAATCCACCCTATAGTCCCTAGATGACCAGAGATGCCTATTATCCTCTGCTTTTTACTGTCACTCTCCCCAGTCCAGCAAACTCATTCCTCTTCCTGCATAAGCCTCCTGTGTTTCTGCCTTTTTTTATCTGCACCCTCTGCTGAGATTCTTTTGTCTTCACCCATCCCAAAGCCATCCATACTTCCACTGCTTGACTAGGGGTAATTATCTCATTCACCCAGCCTAATTTTTAATCTTACCTTCCTGCTCCCACCCTCTCTTCACTCTGAACAAGATTTTACTAGGTTGTTGTTATGTTCTGGGGTTCGGAGAATCTGACTAGTGTGAGTTTCCCAAGGTAAAGGTAATGCCTTAATAATTTTCACTTTAATTGCTCTTTGCGCAGTGTTTTGCACAAAATTTAACACAATAATTGCTCCCAGAGTAAATGTATAAATCTTTGCAATGTCTGATTTGACTCCCTTAGAGTTTGGATCTTTTCCCCTACAACCATCCAGAGTCCTGTCTAACCAAAGTGAAAATGCGGAACTCCCTCTTTCTGGTTGGCATCACTGCTGAGAACGGAAATAAATGCTGTCTATGCCAACTCCCTAGAACAAGTATAGGTTTCATCTAGACTAGTTTTCAAAATGAGGAAACAGGATGCAGACAAATACTTTATTCCCACTTTTTGGCCTGGGGTTTATTAACAAGGTGAAATTATACAGAAGAATAAATTAGTTTAGCTGAAAAAAGAAAAAATGTATAGTTAATGGAGGGAAAAAATTGAAAATGCAATAAAACCAGAAGATGTTCAGGAATTCAAAGTTGTTGATGCATAGAAATACTACTGGTTTTTGTACATTGGTTTTGTGTCCTAAAACTTTACTTGCTTATCCATTTCAGGAGGCTTTTCAAGTTTTCTCCAAAAGGAGTTTTGGAAAGACTTTAGCATTGTCTACGTAGTGACTCATAATGCAAATGGAGAAAGAGAATTCATTTTTTTTTTCTATTTGTATGCCTTTTTCTTTTCTATTGGCTGATTGCTGTGGATAGGACTTTTAAATCTAATTAAATTGTATTTGTTAGATTTTTGTATATTTTAATATGTCTCCAATTAATTTTATATCTGTATAATGTCCCCTTATAAAGGAATATGTAGCTGTTTTATTTAGTTATTTTATTACTGATGCACATTTGAGTTTTTTTCAGTTTGGAAAAGTACCAAATAATGCTGCTTAGAGCATTTGTCTGCATTGGAAAATATGCTGGCATTTCTATTGGGTGTATATACCTAGTAGCAGAGTTGCTGGGTCCTAGAGTGTGCTTATGTACATCGTGTATGTAAGGAGTTACTACTCAAGAGGTTTTGAATGCCGTTATAACAGTTTGCACACAGAATGGTATAAGAAAGTTCCAGTTGCTTGACATCATCACTAGTACTTAATTTTGTCAGTTTTCAAAAATGTGAATGATTGCATAGTGGCATTCAATTGTAGTTTTCATATGCATTGTTCTGATGCATAAGGATGTGGATATGTTCATCTACTTGTTGGCCCTTCGGTTCTGTATGTGGAACTCCTAGTCACATGTTTGTCAATTTTGTTCAATGTATTGCATCTTTGTTTATTAATTGATGGGATTTAGTTAAATAAACTAGATAAAAGGCTTTTGCCACATCAATATATGACAAATGTTGATTTCCACTTTGTTCTTGCCTTTCAGCTCTCCTGAAGGTTTTTTTTATGAAGAGAAGGTTTTAATTGTAATAAAGTCCAATTTGTCATATTTTTGTCTTGAGAATTAATGCATTTTGTGTCCCAAGAAATCTGGGCCTGTGCCAGTCATGGACATATTTATCTATGTTATCTACTAGAAATATTGCTTTCAGCTTTGACCTTAAAATTTAAAATCCACTTTTCATTGGAATTTGTTAATAATATAAGATAGGAGTGTTTTTTCTCACATAAATAACTGGTTGACTCAAGGCTATTTACCGAGAAGACTGTCTTCACTCCTCTTCTGTGCCTGTTTTGTAATATACAAAATGTCCAAATGTGTGAGTCTGAGTTGGACTCTCGAGTTTTTCTAGTTTTCTTTGTGCCTATTTTTGCATTACTACCATAGATAGCTTTTATTACTATAGCTTTAATCTAAGTCTGAATATATGTCATTTTAAGCTCACAAACTTTGTTATTCTTCAGGACAGTTTTTACATTTCTTCGATTTTTTATATGTATTTAAATTTTTTAAACTGATTAGACAGTTTCCACAAGATTTCTGCCAAAATATTGTATTGTGAAAATGGAAATCTATGAATCAATTTAGGGAGAAGTTACATAGAAACAAAGCAAAACAAAACACTAATAACATCCAAAACAAACTTAAAGAGAACACCACAATAAGAAAAGAAATTCCCAAATTGGAATAAATATTTACAACTCATGAAATTACAAATGGGCTCGCATTTCCATAAAGGGCACTCTCTCTCTCCCTCTCTCTCTCTCTTTTTTTTTTTCCACAGAGACTCACTCTGTCACCCTGTCTTGAGTGCAGACGTGCAATCTCGGCTCACTGCAACCTCTGCCTCCCAAGTTTCAGCAATTCTTCTGTCTCAGCCTCCTGAGTAGCTGGGGCTACAGGCTTGTGCCACCATTCCCGGCTAATTTTTTGTAATTTTAGTAGAGACGGGGTTTCACCAGGTTGGCCAGGCTGGTTTTTAACTCCTGACCTCAAATGATCCGCCCGCCTCAGCCTCTCAAGTGTTGAAATTACAGATGTGAGGCACCACAGCTGACCTGTAAAGACCTCTTAAAAATTAGTTAAAAAACAAACAAAACAGAAAAAGAGAAAGAAGAAACAGCCACTCAGTTAAAAGAAAAAGATAAAGAAAAAGAAAAAGAAAAGAAAAGAAAAAAAGGCAAAAGACATTATTTTACAGGTCTAGTGCCCTGTGCCCCTCACTGTAATGGGGGTGGATATGGGCTTCACAGGACATGAAATTCATCAAACAGTTGCTGGTTGAAGGAGGGAAAATCTTGCGGGACCAGCCTCCAGAACAGAGCCTGTGGTGCACTGTTTCATCCCGTAGCCCTGGTAAGAAAACCTGGCTGTGCCGTGCTTTATGTTCACCTGCATTTGCCCTGTTCAGAGGCCTGAGCTACCGTGGACACAAAAGTCTGCTCAAACTCTCCCCATCCCAATATTCTCTCTGGTATTGAGCATGACACCCTGTCTTCACTGAGCATGTGTTTATGCAGTTTTGTGACCACCTATCCATTTTACAACAGGAAGACTGAGGCCCCCAAAAAAGGCAAAGACTGGTCCATATCCCAGAAATTGGGAAGAGCACAGAGTATTAGGGAGGGATCCAGCTTCCAAGGCCTTGCATGCACCCCACCCATCAGGTTTGCTTTGGAAATGAGTGCTCTTAAGTCCTGGAAAACCCTGTGGTCTACTTTCTACCTGGGCTTTCTACCCTTCCTTATTCTCACATAGGTGTGCAGCCATGAACACACAAACACACCACACACACACACACACACACACACAGGCTTCTAAGGTGGAGATCATGGAGGTGAGGTTAGAGAAGAGGAAACCAGAGAAGTGACAAAACGGGAAGAAATAGAAGAGGCAGCTTTGCCATGAGGCAGAGGCATCCACTCCCCCAGCTACATGACCAGGAGCTGACAGCATGTGATGAAGGATCCTCCAGGTTCCCTGGGTTCTTCCAGGCCTGGGGATCTTCCCAGCTGTTTCAAGAGGACAGGACAGGGGTTGTGACTCCCACCTCTATGGGCACCTGGAACTAAAATGAGCTATGCCCTCCCCCAACCACCCCATGTGATATAAAGTGAGGCTACGGGAAAGAAAACCTTCGTTTTCTCTCTCATAAATAGGGGTACTCAAAAGGAATAATACCAAGAATTCTAGATACTCATAAGTGTCTGCTCCCCTTGGCTCTTCATTGGTAACTCACTGTGCTTTGAGACTCTGGGAAGAGGCTTTTCAGGTTCTAGAGGTCCTTCAGAGAAGAGAGAGGCCTAGAGATGTGGGCAGATGAGGACTTGGAATAAAGCAGAATGTGACAATGCACTGGGCTCTGGAGTGTGGGGCCCAGAAAAAATACTAGATTTTTGGGCTGTCCTTGAGGTCCTCATTCAGAAGTGGAAGAAAATAATGTCTCTGAATGCTGTTAAAGTGTTTAATGAGTGCACAGCACACTCAAAGAGGCTGAGGAAAATAGGAATCAAGGGAGGTTTCCGAGGTTACTTTTATGGCCCTTGGAGTCTTCAGATACTGCTCCTTTTCCCAGGGGTCCTTGAATAGCCACTGCCTTGAGAATTCCCCAATGCAGGTGCCTGTTTTGTGATGCTTCCACCTGGGACTTCAGGGCTAGTGGAGGCCTCTAGGTGGCGGCAGACCCCGTGTTTCTTATGCCCGCTGGGCTTTACTGGAGCAGCTGGAGCCGGGGGAGAGACAGGCTGAGGTCCTGCAGCTCCTGTTATCATTCATGATCTCCACATTATTGGGTGGCCAAAAGTGGGAAGAAGGGCTTTGTGATTTTCCATGTTATTTTACTCAGCGACTCTTCCCCTAGCACTCACCATGTGGCAGCTACCTTGGTAGGTTCACCTTATGGTACCAAAAATGATTATGTTATCCCTGCCTCCCCGCGGGGAGCCCACAGTCTGAGGACGGCAGGACAAAAACACTAAAGCAAGTACATGTGAAAGAAAAGAGCATTTTATAATGGAAATAAAGTAGAATGTTGGGAGGGAGGGCTGGGGAGAGGTTGCCTGGAGGGGACATGAATGCCTCCCTGAGGTGACATTATGTTGTGACCAGAATGACAACAGAGAGCCAGTCCTGCGCAGGTGTGCAAAGTGTGTCAGGGAAAAGCCACTCTTTGTGAAGAGACTCACAGGCACAGGTGAGTTCAGCAGAGGAGGTTATAACGGGACAATTGTGGCGGCAGGCAGCCTGAGAAAGAAAGGAAAAGAGGGGAGGAGGATCCTGGGGACTGAAAGAGGAGATTAGTCATTTGCCCCTCTCTGACAAAATTTCCCTGAATTTTAGCACATGTTGACAACAAATACTATCTCACAACTTTTGTGAACCAGAATCTCGATATAGCTTAGTTGGGTGCCTCTGCCTCAAGGTCTCTTACGAGGCTGGGGCTGTGATTTCAACTGAAGCTGGATTTGAGGAGAGATCAGCCTTCTATCTGCCTCATGGAAACTGGCACGATTCAGTGTGAACTGAGAGCCCGAGTTCCTTCCTCTCGATTGGCCTGGGCATCTCCTCAGTTCTCTATCATGTGGGTCTGTGCCTAGAGCATCTTAGGACACTGCAGATCACTTCCTCATCTTGAGGATTACAATACAGAGATGAAAAATGAAAGAGATAGACAGACATATGCAGAGAAAAAGAGAGAAAGGGAGACAGAGAGATTGAGAGAGGACACACAGGACAGAGCAAGTAAGAGGAAAATAATAGCTGTTTTAGAAATATAACTTTGGAAGTTGCAGAAGACTATGTGATTCCCCACCATGTTCACATACCAGAACCTTAATCCCCAGTGTAATGGCCTTAGCAGGTCAGAGGTAATTAAGTCCGAAGCATGAGGACCTTCATGATAGCGATTACGGGCTTTGTAAAAGAAACCGCAGAAGGCTGTCTCTCCCTCTCTCTGCTAAATGAGAAAACAACCTGAAGTCTGGAGTTTGAAACTCAGAAGAGAGTCCTTACCAGACCCCAACCATGCTGGAAGCCCAATCTCAAATTTCTGGCCTCTAGAACTAATGTTTTTTATTATAAGTTGCCTAGTCTATGTTTTTTGGTATAGAAGTCTGAACTAAGTCAGAAGTGATAACCTATCACATTTGTTGTTTTCCCTTTGACAGAAACTAGAACCAGGTCCCCAAAGAGTTCATCCAATGACTAACAGAAATTCTTCAGTTTGCAGAATGACAGATAAGAAAAGATACAACTTGTTTGAAAGAATGAAATTTATTCCACTTATGAGACTTCTAAAAAGTGGCTAAAATTGGTCGGAACCAATATGGTCAACTGGAGTCTGTGTGAAATAAGCTCACTGATGTCAGAGCCCAAATTTCCATCACATGTTTGTACTAACTGTCCCCAAATTTGCACATGTGATCTGTGTGTAGCAAGAAAAAATAGTTGTTCATTGCCCAGTGATTTTCCATACATTTTTCCTTTAAGCAATTCCGTACTAATCCAGAACCTACCTCCTAAACCTTTCTGAGAATATTACTACCTTTAAGTAAGCACAGGGAAACAGACTTGAGCTGGAATCCCATCTCTCTGTTAGAAACCCGGTGTTATAGTACCTGCTTCTGAGGCACTGAGAGGTGAGCTGCGTTTTAAATAACAGAGTCACTCACAACTTAGTGTTGTGTGAGACTTTGTTGGGGGTGCCCACCACATAGGCTGAGATGAGGCATATACATATGATTCTAAATATAATGCACAGCACTGGAATATTTAATGCCAGAAGACAGTATCTGATTTTCTTTTAATTTCAACCTCTTCTGCTGTGGAATGGAAAATTAAGGCCATATATATAAAATATATATCTTTTATGTATAAAGATACATAAACTATGTATCTTTTATATATAAAGATATATATGTATAAGTTTATATATTATATATAGTTATATATAATTGATATATATATAGTTATATATAATATATAAATAAAAATATTTATATACATTATATATATATATATTTTTTGAGACACAGTCTCGCTCTGTCACCCAGGCTGGAGTGCAGTGGCAGGATCATGGCTCAATGTAATCTCTGCTTCCTGGGCTCAAGTGATTCTTACACCTCAGCCTCCTGAGTGGCTGGGATTACAGGCATGCATCAACACATCTGGCTAATTTTTGGATTTTTCGTAGAGAAGGGTTTTTGCCATGCTGGCCATGGCTGGTTTCAAACCCCTGGCCTTAAGTGTTCCAGCTGCCTTGGTCTACCAATCTGCTAAGATTACAGCAAGAGCCACTGCATCCAACCGATTTTGATTCATTCTATCTCATATATCACCAAAGACTGTTTTTGGAAGTTGATGTTAGCATAATCCCATTATGCATACTTCAGGGCTGGGGAGACCTGAAGCACACAGTCATTTTCATATGGTCACAGAAATGAAAAGGAAAAGAAGATTTTAACCCAACTCTGTTCTCTCAAACCTGGGGCCCTGGCTGCATTTAGAACTTTTTGGGAATTAAGGGACATAATTGTGTTTGCATAACTGTTTACAGGTAAAGAGTTGACATGGGAGAGGAGGGTGAGCAATCAGCAGCCCAGCAGGGACTTTGCGTAGATTTATGGAGGAAAAGGGCTCAGGGGATAAAACCTTGAAGAAGTTAACAGACTTCCCTTGTGACAAAACCTAACAGAATTTAGAACTTTGGGAACCAGAAACCCACATTCTAGAGACAGCCCTGTATCTAGCTAACTTCTTGGGAGATGCTTGAGAGGGCACTGTGTTCTCATTGTGTTATATTCCCAAGCTGTTGCCTGAGAAAGGCTCAAAGTGAGAGCCTTTTCTGACAGTATACATACTGGCTCAGCCTACATCCTTGATACCACTGGCCATTCGACAAGAGGCACCCACAGGTAACACAGTTTAGCCCAGGGCAGGTCCGTCCATGCCAGGCCACCTGTGTCATCTAATCTGGGCAACCCGACCCTGCCTACCATTACCCTGTGTTGCAAGGGGAGCAGGAAAGGAGGGGGCTTTTCCTCACAGGGGCAGGTTTTAAGACACAGGAACCCTGGTGGGTCTGTCATGTTCATACCCAGGTCACGGTTGGTGGAATAAAAAGTTGTGAGTTGCGGACCAAGTACGTCTACTCAGATGTGAATCCCAAGGCCTTAAGCTGTCCTCGGGTTTCCTCATTGGCTGGGGGTCTATGCAGATACTCCTATGTTCCTGATCTAGGAAACAGAATTTCTAATGCAGATGTCACCTGGTGGTAAAAACAAAGAAGACAATTAACTTTTTTCGCTGCTGGGAACACTCTTTGTAGAGCTGCATTAAAATCAGTGAGCAGATATTTGATGGGTTCAAGTCCCCCATCTCCTTGGACAACTGGCAGGTTCACCACACCCCCCAAGCATGGCATACAATGAGTTATGTTGAGAGCAGGCACATGGGGTTCTCTACAGAGAGGGACCTGACAAAACCAGGATGGGTCCAGGATCCAGACCCAAATATGGAATTTCTCTGCGCTTTCTCCTAGGGGATTTCCATGAGTGACCCTCAGATCTACCCCCCAAAAATCTAGCCTTAACTGGTCCCAGTGGCAACTTGGTTAAGTGTAAAGTCCCTTTTTACATTCTTGTAGAAATATCAGAGAAGGCCTTTGTGTTGTTTTTACTTTACACTAGGCTGCATTTATTCATGTTACTACAGTTTGTATAGTTTTAATTATTCCCCTCTGATATCATCTGTAGCAAGCAGGTTCATGGTACTGCCAGACTTTCTCCAAGACTTGAAAGCCACCACTATCACTAATACTCTACAAAAATAGGGAAGAGTTTACATGAAAAAGGGGTTATATTGTTTCCTACATTTGTCTGCAATGTGTCATCTAAGAGAACTCATCCCAGTAGCCCATCAGGGCAGAAGTGGTGCCCTCACATCTCTTTGTAATGTTCTATAATGGGGGTCACTTCCCAGAGTGGTTTAGCCTTTCAATGGCTATTATTTCTGATCAAAATGGAATAAAACTAGAAATGAATAACAGAAGAAAACAAAAATAGCAACATATATATGGAAATTAAACAACTCACTTTTGAGCATGCTCATGTTTAAGGGTTGTAAGACTTAATATTATGAATAATGCTTATGATGTCTAAAGCGAGTTACAGATTCAATGCAATCCCTTTTAAATTAAGAACTTTTTTTTTGAAATAGAAAAAGGAACCAACAAATTATATGGAATCTCAAGCGACCATAAAGAGCCCCAAAATGTTTAAAAAAAACAATGTTAGTGACCTCACCTTTTCTGATTTCAAAGCACATTACAAAGCAACAGCAATGAAAACAGTTTGTTTCTGGCATAAACACAGACAATTTTTCCAATAAAACAGAAGGTAGCACACATGTAAACCTCACACATATGAGCAAATAGCTATTTGCATACCAATATTCATTGCAGCATTATTCAGAAATGCCAATAGGTGAAAGCAACACAAATTTTCCTCATAGAATGAATAAATAAATAAAATTTGTAATATAAAACTAATGGAATATTACTTAGCTTTTAAAGGCAGAAAATCTTGTACCATCCACAATAAAGAGGAATCTTGAGAACATAATGCTAAGTAAAATTAGTCACAATAAAACAGATACTCTATGATTCTACTTATATGTAATATCTAAAGTATTGAAACTTAGAACCAGAAAATAGAATGATTTTTATCAGGAGCCAGGTGGTAAGGACAATGGGTAGTTGTCATTTCATGTGTACTGAGTTTTAGTTTTGCAAAAGAAAAAATTTTACAAATATGTTGCTTAACAATGTAAATACACTTAACATGACTGAACTGTATAAGAAAAAATATTAAAGATTCTAAATTTTATGTTATGTATTTTTACCACAATCGAAATTAAAAATGACACCCAAGGGCCAAGAGTGATCACTCATGCCTGTAATCGCAGCACTCTGGGAGGCTGAGGCATGCAGGTTACTTGAGGCCATAAGTTCAAGACCAGCCTGGCCAACATGGTGAAACCCCAGCTTCATGAAAAATACAAAAATTAGCCAGGCGCGGTGGTGCACAACTTTAATGCCAGCTACTCAAGAGGCAGCAGCTGGAGAATTGCTTTAACCTGGGAGGTGGAGGTTGCAGTGATCCAAGATTGTGCCACTGCACTTTGGCAACAGGGTGAGAGTCTGTCAAAAGAAAAAAAAAAAAAAAAAAAGACACCCGAAGGGACAGAGTTACAAAGTTTCTGAAAAATTATCTTCAAATCACATAAATCTTTCCTTCACACTAAGATAATATAAACAATAGATGTTGAAATTAAGACAATTTCCATGATTACTCACTTAGACAGAATAAATTATTGGCCATCAAATAAGAAGAAAATATAAAAGTCATAAACAAAATAGGGGCAATATTTATACAGGCAAACAAACAGTTAAATCATTGTATTAACAAAAGACATAGGGATGGTTCATATTTGACTTCTGCCCCACACTGTCTTAATGCATACAGAGTTGAATATTGTTATACAATATTATATTATACAAATTAAAACTTAAAACAATAAACTAATATAAGGTGCCCTACCCTAAAACATGAAACACAGAAATGTAAAATTGCAAAACAAAGTTAAAATAAACATTAACCCCCAAATTCTTATTTGAATAATGAAATTCAAAATCATAATAAATAGGTAGAAAGTAAAAACACAATTAACTGATGTGAGACAGCCTACTCTAAAAAATACAGAAACATAAAATTATAAAACATAATTAAGAGAAACTTTAATCCATAAAATCCTGAATAAACATAGTGTCCAAATGAAAAAGAATCCCAGGTAACTACAATTTTTAACTCTTCCTGTGAATCTATGAAAAGTATGAATTTTGAATTATTTGGATACAGTTAGGGCAACAACATTTCAGAGAAAACACATTATAATTAATACAAAGAGCTGTGATGAGAAAGTTTTAAGGAATAAGCATTTAAGTAATACTAGAGAAAGTTTTAAATTATGCTACTGATGCATTGCTGCTTTTCTTACACAAAACGATAAGGCTGTAATCTAGCTTTTAATTGAAAAGTCTTACATTTCTAAATATGGTAACAATATAAATATTGTAAATACAGTATAAAACATTGACATATAAAATAAAAATTGGAAATAAATTGTACTATTAGTCAAATAAAAGTTGGGAAAACTGGAAGAAGATGCTAATAGTAACATTGTGCCTAGAGTCAATTAAACATACAAGCCAAATATTTTAATAAATTATAAATTATATAATTTATACATAATATATACATTTGAGCATGCTATTTTACAACTTCTGAAAGGAAATTACAGACAAATGTGACACATGATAATTCAGAAAGTGAAAACACAGTCATAGTAATCTTCATATTAAAGAAGACAGAATCATAAAATACTAAGTGAGAAATAAAGTAATAATTGTGAATTCAATATATGTTGAACAATATTCTAATTTCCCTTACGGAAAAAGTTTTTGTAAGAAATCAGTAAAATGAGTACATACAATAAACCATCCTACAGTAGAGGCTGTTGGCATATAGAGTTTACATTTCTATGATTAGGTCCTACTAAGAAAAAGGAAATTTTAAAATAAAATACTTAGATTTTCCTATTTAATAAGATAATTTTTGCCTATAAAGTTTTTCAGTCTAATTTTCTTGTAGAATTAGGTTTTAGCCATCGTAAAACTTGACATTATGAAGCAGAAAACAGGTGTCATCTGTCTCTGGTGTTCCTGGAATTTCTAACCCAAATGCCAATTCCTCCACAACTCCCTTCACACACTTCTGAATTGAAGCACAACAGATTTATTAAAATTGGCATAACAGCGGTCTCCAGAAATGTGCAGAGATTTTCCCAGATCCCCAAAATCAATGACAAACTATTCAGATCATTTAGGTTCTCACAAGATTCTGGGAGGACTTTGGCTTTCAGTGTGAACGCACTGGAAGATTCTAAGAGAGAGGGAGAGAGAGAGAATGTGTGTGTGTTGAAATCAGAACCCCACCTTATGTGTTTATTGTGGAAATTGAAAATGAAAGCCTAAAGTTGAAAATTAAAATCACACATGATAGCACGTTGCAAACTGTTTTCTGTGCTAGATGGGTCGTTCTAGGGTGTAGGACCCTGGAAACACCGTTTTCCCCTCCTTCCGGAAAGAGCTACTCACACTGCTCAAAGCCTGCATCCACATGTACCATGTCGAAGACCAGCTCAAGAGCCTGGACCCATATGCCACCTTCAGCAGGGTTGACTGCAGCTTCTTGTTCTTCCTGAGCATCTTCTCCAATGGTGACCTGAGAGTTGCGGGAGGCATTGGGGCCAGGATTGAACAGAGGAAAAAGGAGCACGGAGGCCAGGTGCTGAGGACCAGGCCATCTCACCTGGAGAGTTCTGGCCCTGAGACATCCAGACCAGCATGATGTTTAGGTGCAGACAGCTGGCCCTGGGTGGCCCTGTGCTGATCACCGGCCTCAGCCCCTCAAACAGTGGGAAATGGAAGAATGGCTTGGAAATGGGCCCTGTCGACAGTGTGTCACCTGAGCACATTCTCCCAGGGGCCCAAGAGGGGCCATCGTGTCTCTAGAACCAGAACTGGAAGGTGAAACTGCCAGGGGGAACAAGGAAGAGGGTCCTCAGTTGGGTGGAGGGTCTCACAGCAAGACGCCTGGCTTAATCAAGCTTGGCCATTCCTGAAGCACGTTCAGTGACTAAAAGTGCCTACCATGAGCAGCTGGAACACACTCTCTGAGAGCTGCAAGATGCATGGGGACCTCAAGTACCTGTTTGTAATTACAGCCAAGGACCAGCAGGCAGCATTGCTGCATCCACATGGGCTTTTGCTGGAACCAGTAAGTCTCTGCCAGCCCCTCCCAGGCTCCTGGGATGCCACTTGTTCTGGGTCTGTGGACAGATAACCAGGACACTTACTCAGTGAAGCCCATCGCTCAACCCCAGCCCCACCATACCCTGTCTCCTATGCCATTCCTCATCCCAGAAGGAAAGGCAATGCCTTTGTCCCACAGCCCCTGCCTTGTGTCATCTCATGTGGGGGTATGGAATGAACCCGTCAGCCTAAACTCCAGTCCTTCTGCCTGAGGAATCTGTCCCCGCTGTCTTAGTCGCCCTCTAGGGAGCTGTCAGTGGGATAAAGAGCAGCCCTGGAAGAGAGGCCCACCTTCTTCTGTTTGACTTCAGGACAGCCTTTCAGGGCAAGAACCCAGAGCAGATGGAGGCCTCACAGAAGGCTGTGGCAGGGCTCTCGGCTTGGTGGGCTAAGCATCTCCCTCTCTGATGACTGCCATGGGGCCCACAACCACTCATTCAAGAGGGTCACCACCACATTGCAGGTGTTCAGCTGGACGGTTCCCCAGGCAGAGCCTGCCATGGACTGCATACACACAGAGGATGCACACCTTGAAGTTGGACAATGAGGAGAACATTCCTGAAGAGGTGCATGCAGCCTGGCCCTGCCCTCACTGGGAACCCCCTTCCATCTGGGTACTAGACAGAATTCTGTGCACTTTTCTGGAGGCTCCATGCTGGTCTGTTCATTTGGAAGTTTGATGCTGTCCGTGAGGAAGTAACAAAAGAGATATCTCAGAGCAGGTTGTGGGGCACAGGCTGAGAGATTTTCTCCCTCCCTAGTCCCTCTGCAGACACGGGGCTGGAACAAGAACCTGTGGATAATGAGGGAACTTCTCTTCGAGAACCGGCCTGAGCAGCTGCTTCAAGAAAGAGCCACATTAAAGTGCCTATAGCCCCTGATGAGGGAATGGTAGCCTCAGGCCCGCCTGCCATGTGTGAGCAGGTTTTCTTGCTATCAGGATGAAAGCAAAGAAAGCTGGAATGAGCCCAGCCCTCTCAGGCACCTTGAAGACTGTTGGGGTTCCTTCCAGCCCTTCTAGCCTTATGCTTTTTGGCAGGCCACTCAGGCACCTTTTTCCAGCCTCTGAGACTTCCATGCTCTGGAAGGAGAGGGTCCCACTTTTCACTAGGCTATGGGGCCAGGCCCATCCAGCTCCCGGCTTCCACTAACAACCATGGGGCTCTCACCTGGGCACACACTGCCCAAACATGGACCTTCTAAGGCAGAAGATCATGTGTCTTGCAGTTCCAGCTTTCTAGGGCTTAAAAGTTATCAGTGCTGTTATTAAGATAGGGAAGTGAGAAAGGAAAACTTGCTGTAAAAGTTTCCCATAATCTTACCACGGAGATCATCAGCACAGATGACAGCACAGGTAGGGCTGCTGGGGAGGCTGAAGGAGAGTGTCCAGCCTGTTCTGCCAGCTGGTCCTTGCCAGGGGTGTCTCGTGACCCAGTCCCTTAGAGAAGCATGCAGATATCTCAGCAAGTATCTGGAAGGTGCAGATCAGGGCAACCCAGCACTACTGATGGTGGAGTGGGCCTACCTCCCATCAAGCTGTGTCTCCACAGCTGACCCTTGTAACCAGGAGGTGTTTTACAACATGTGCAAGGCAGTGAGCTCCATCAGCTGTGTGGCATTCAACACTCACTTCAACTCGGACATCTCACCAGAAAGCAGTGGGGACTGGCCAATGCAGAAGCCTGCAAAGTGGAACAGAGCGTCATGGGGTGGGGGATGTGGGGCCTGCCTGCTCATCTGAGCACTGCTCCCTGAGGGTGTGATCTGCAGGCTTCCTGAAGGAGGGCTGTGAGCTCTTCTGCGAGGCCCTGAGCCTGTGGAACATAGCTGAGGCCAAGCCCATGGGGATTTGTGTCTACTTGCACCTCCTTGCTCATCTCAGTACACTACAGGTGACTGTGCCGAGGTGGGCCTTGAGCATCCCCTGGGCTGTGTCAGCAAATGGCTCTGGGCCTGGCCTGGCATTGAGGGATGGCAAAAAAGGAGCCTGGGGTTGCATTGTCATCCCCTATGGTAGCATAAAATGAGAGAGTCCAGACCTGCAGGACTGGAACCCTAACAAAGGGGTTAGGAGACTGCTCACTTTCCCTCAGGAACCCATGTGGAGGAGCTGAGGGAGGTTAAGGAGACCCTAGGGACTCACTTGTTCTGTCTGGGCTTCCCCCTGCTCCATCGTTTGATGACCATTTTCTGGGAAGAGCTCAGGAACCTCCTGTGCTCTAGTGAGACGGGGCCTCCCCTCACAGGGTATTCTGAGACTGTGAGTGAGAAGCTAACACAGTGCCTTGCAATACTCACGGGAGCTGTCATCCTCTGTGACCATCACGTGGCCTTGTAGTGTTCAGACTGCCTGGCCTGCCTGGGGTTTGGTGAGGCTGTTTTGTGGTCAGCTGCTTTAGAAGCTCACTTTCTCTGCAATCAAACAGTGACTGTTTACATGTCTGTTTATGGGTTTAAAAAATCCTAATATTTCCTTTATAGTAGTTCACCTTGTATGTGTTTATTTGTATAAATTTTATTAGAATAAAGATAGCTTAAGACAATAGCATTTTAAGGTCTTAATGAGGCATAGACTTTCATGTCACAACAGCTAATGTTGACCTCCTTTTGCTGCCTTTGTGTAAATTACACATAAAAAGTGCAGCCAGAGGTGACTAGAGCTGAGCTGCTTGGGCTTGCTTGCTGGCCTGCAGTCAGGTGGACTCTGGCTGTGAGGCAGTGCCCACCCTGGATCTACATCCCCCACTCTCTCTCCTTAGTCCCTGAGTAACCAACAAGGCCGTGCTAATGAGAGGGCGAGTGATGGGCATCGGGCACCCCAATACTATCCGGGAAAATTTGAATGCCATCTGGGCTGGAGCTGTTGGGATTACGGGCTGAGGCTGTCTTGGCTTGTCATGGTGCCACCCACAGATGTGCCTGCCCTGTGCTGCTTCTCCAGAAGCCGGCTGCCCATGGCCCTGAGCCTGTCACACCATGCTTGCTACCTCATGCTGCTTGTGTTTGAAAAACCCATCCCGAGATGACGCTGCTGGATGTAAGTCCTGAAAAGAGGGCATCACCTTTGTCCTGGGGGATTAGGAGCTGACCAGATTCCTCTTGACTCCCTCCCAGAACAAGTGGGGCAGGTGCTGCAATTAATGTTGCCCCCTAGAAGATGTGTTTGCACTGGCTGAGCAAATATACGATGCAGAAACCTAAATGAAGACACGTGAATGGGGTGTGTGGACATCAGTTAGTAGCTGGGAAACAGGTGCCTCTCAGGCATCTCGTGTTCCAGCAAGTGTGGAATATGCCTGTGCCCATGAGTGTAGACATCTGAAGTGTATACATTTGGCTGCTGCTTTTGCTGCCACTATTCCCAGGCCCAACCTGGCTTAAAGTCCAGGTTTTAAGTAAAAAGTAGGAGGCTTTTTGCCATACAGCTACTTGAGAGGCTGAGGTGAAAGCATCACTGGAGCCTAAGAGATTGAGGCTGCAGTGACCCATGATTCAGCCACTGCACTGACACAGTGAGACCTGCGTGTGCCCTTCTACAGAGAATAGCTCTGGGGCATTTGGGGATCCCTACAGTCCCGGACCCTCCCTGTCCCCTGCTGCCTGTGCTCCTTTCCTTGCCTGCTGTCAGAGCCTAACATGGAGGCGGTTGCCACCCTGTGAGCCTGAGGGAGCTGTGTCTGACTGGAACTTCTGTCTGAGGTTTTGCGAAGTCTTACTTATGAATATGGTCTGTCCAGATACCTTGTTTCAAAGGAAGTGAGCATGAGATAGCAAGTGTAGCCACCCCACAGCTGATAAACAACTTTGTCTTGTTTTTAAATCATCAATCTTCATTTCACATTGGAATAAAGTAAGTGAAACCTGCTACCCGAGCCTCGCCCGTGTGTTCTGTAACCCAGACTCATGTGGTTGTGTGGGCTGTTGTCAGAAATGTTATAAAAAGGTTATGCATAAATTAGATCAAATATAAAATTATGCTTATAATGTCACTTGAGTGGGAGGTAAGAGGGTAGAGTCACAGGAAATCTGTTGGGGTTTACACCCCTGCTACTTACCAAGCTCATGAGAGTGTGGCACTGGTGACCATCACCTGACATTGGTGACAGAAGAGAAAAGGCCGAAGTGAAGGCCAGGTAGGAGAGAGGTGCCAGGCTGTGGGGCCAGGCCCTGCGCATGCTGGGCCTGTTAGGTCACTGAACATCTAACTACCCGGGAACCAGCTCTTTTCACATCATTTGAGGTAAGACGATGGGGGAGCACTCTCCAGAAGTCACACTGCGCTGGGAGAATGGAGGAGAGTCTACATACCGCCATCTTAGGGTAGGTTTTAGATTGAGCTGAACTGTCTTGGAGAGCTAATGAGATGGGAGGAAGACAGTCCCCCAGGTGCACCTAACAGCCAGAGCCTATGAAGTTATGGGGGTTGTGTGGGGGTGGCCTTTCCCTATAAGAGGAGGAGCTTAAAGCTCTTAAAGCTGGTGGCTGCTGCTCTGCCATCCCTCTACAGAGCAGTCAAGTCCTCAGCTGCAAGAATATCTGAATGTCTTTTGGAGTGTTAGAGTCCTCTGTGTCTTAGAAATTTTGAAAAGAAAAACAAATCTCAATTTTAATGTTGATTGGTTTCTCTGAGCCAGTTGGGAAAAAAGATGTCCTTCACCTCAAAGGTTTAAGTGACACCGAAGGGTAGCCACCAGTGTCTCGGCCACTGAAGCCTCATGCATGCTCTCACTACCAGTTTGATTTGCAGCCCCATAGTTGTGTTGTACTAAATATTCTTTCCTCTGGCCTTGTCCAGTGAACACGGTTCACATGGCTAACACCACTTCTTGAGATGCGAGCACCATGCAAAGCTGAGAACGGATTGGGTTTTGTGACCATTGTGCCTCCTCCTCACCTGAGAGGCCCATTTTTCCTGGTTGATTCATTAAGTGTATTGGTGCTGTCAGTCGCCTCTGGACAATTCAAATGACAAGTGGCTGTTGATTCATAAAGAAAATGAAGGCTTTAGATGTGAAACCCTCGTTTTCTCTTGTCCTTCTCTTAGGTGAAAGATTTTATTTTTTTCAAAAGGCTACATACTGGTATCCCAGCAGGTGTAGTGTGAGAACTGGCATATGTTAGGCTATGGTGTCAGTGTGGATGGGCAATTCTTCAAGATGGAAAACCAAGTCTCACTGAGTTGCTGGAGCCACAGTGACCTTTCTCCACATCCCCCACCGTGGGCTTTCACTTTTATCCTGTGCTTGAATTTTTTTCACATACAAATTCTTTATACACACACACAGACACACACACACATATCTCACTCTGTCAATGCAGTGGCTGAATCATGGGTCACTGCATCTTCAAATTCTTAGGCTCCAGTGATGCTTTCAAATCAGCCTCTCAAGTAGCTGGGACTACAGGCATGCAAAGCTACACCCAGACAATTTTTAAATATTTTTCTAGAGACTGAGCCTACTTATGTTGCTCAGACTCGTCTTGCACTCCTGGGATCAAGCGATAATCCCACCTTGACCACCCAAAGTGTTTAGATTACAGGTGTGAGCTAGCACTCTCAGCAAAAATATATTTTAAAGAACCGTTACAACCAAATTATGAGTTATCATTATGCCACTGCCCTCCACCCTGGGCACCAGAACAAGACCTTGTATCCAAAAACTAAGCAAAACTAAACAAGAACAAAAAAAAAAAACTTATAAATAAACTTTGAAGATTGTGTCATCTGTGTCCTTCCCTGCCCTCCAAGCTATCAATGTTAAATATAATGGTTATTGAGAAAATGGTTAGATATTATTAAGAAATTTCTATATATCTTCCAGCTGAGAATAGGTATTCTGTTGTGGCCCAAATATTTTCTCACCGCTACCTTCAGGGTCTAAACTAGCAAATCAGGACACCTGCAGAGGACAGTTGGCCGTTTTCAAATAGAAAGAGAAATACCCCCGTTCATGAGAGTAATCCAGTGATTTTCAAAAAGACAAGTCACACTGACATCCAGCGCAGTCAGGCCACAATTACCCTGGAATAATCACTTCACACAGAATGGTTGAGGAGACTTTCTAAGATGAGCAAATTTGGGCAGCATAATCCTTGCTTATTTATTCCCAGCCCCCACTGCCCGCCTGATTCCTAATGGCTACCCTACAATGTGGTCAGCAGTGGGATGTAGCGTGGTGAGAGAGGGGCTCAGGGACGGGATGAAGGTCTTTCCTGCATTATCAAAATGCAGGTTAAAAAGTTGTTAAAAAGATGTCCAAATGTTCTAATTCCTACTGTTAAATAGCTGCTAAGATGCATTATACAACAGACCCAGGTAAGGGAAGGAGCATGTGCATTTCAAGTCTCAGCTCACTTCTTAATTAGCTGTGATACTCTGGGCAGGTGACCCCAACTATACGAGCCTGTGTGCCTGTCAACCCAAAACAATCCTAAGCAAAAACACCAAAGCTTGGGGCATCTTGCTACCCGACTTCAAACTATACTACAAGGCTGCAGTAACCAAAACAGCACAGTACTAATACCAAAACAGATATATAGACCAATGGAACAGAACAGAGGCCTCAGAAATAACATCACACATCTACAACCATCTGATCTCTAACAAACCTGACAAAAACAAGCAATGGAGAAAGATTTACTACTTACCAAATGGTGCTGAAAGAACTGGCTAGCCACATTCAGAAAACAGAAACTGGACCCCTTCTTTACACCTTATACAAACATTATCTCAAGATGGATTAAAGTCTTAAATATAAAACACCAAACCACAAAAACCCTAGAAGAAAACCTAGGCAATACCATTCAGGACATAGGCATGAGCAAAGACTTCAGGAATAAAATACCAAAAGCAATCACAACAAAAGCTAAAATTGACAAATGAGATCTAATTAAACTAACGAGCTTCTGCACAGCAAAAGAATCTATCATCAGAGTGACCAGGCAACCTACAGAATGACAGAAAATTTTTGCAATCTATCCATGTGTCAGAGGTCTAATATCCAGAATCTACAAGGAACTTAATTTCACACACACACACAAAAAAAACATCAAAAAGTGAGTAAAGAATATGAACAGACTATTCTCAAAAGAAGACATTTGGCTGGGCGTGGTTGATCAAGCCTGTAATCCCAGCACTTTCAGCCATGGAGGCAGGTGGATCATGAGGTCAGGTGTTCAAGACTAGCCTGGGCAACATGGTGAAACCATGTCTCTACTAAAAACACAAAAAATTAGCATGGTGTTTTGGCGGGTGGCTGTGATTCCAGCTTCTTGGGAGGATAAGGCAGGAGAATCACTTGAACCTGGGTGGCAGATGTTGCAGTGAGCTGAGATCCTGCCACTGCACTCCAGCCTGGGTGACAGAGCTAGACTCCGTCTTTAAAATAATAATAAATAAAATAAATAAAAAGAAAAGGAAGAAGGAGAAGAAGAAGAGAAGAAGAAGAAGAAGAAGAAGAAGAAGAAGAAGAAGAAGAAGAAGAAGAAGAAGAAGAAGACATTTATGTGGTCAACAAACACACAAAAAGGAAAAAGAAAAAAGCTCATCATCACTGATGATTAGAGAAATGCAAATCAAAACCACAATGGGATACCATCTCACACCATTTGGAATGGCAGTTATTAAAATGTCAGGAACAACAGATGCTGATGAGGCTATGGAGAAATAGAAACGCTTTTACACTGCTGGGGGCGGGAGTGTAAATTACTTCAACCATTATGGAAGACAGTGTGGTGATTCCCTAAGTATCTAGAACCAGAAATACCATTTGACCCAGCAATCTCATTACTGGTTATATACCCAAAGGAATATAAATCATTCTAGCATAAAGACACATGCACTCATATATCTATTGCAGCACTGTTTACAATAACAAAGACTTGGAACCAACCTAATGCCCATCATTGATAGACTGGAAAAAGAAAATGTGGCACATATACACCATGAAATAATATTCAGCCATAAAAAGAATGAGTTCATGTCCTTTGCAGGGACGTGAATGACACTGGAAACCATTCTCTTCAGCAAACTAACACGGGAACAGGAAACAGAACACCGTATGTTCTCACTCATATGTGGGAGTTGAACAATGAGAACACATGGACACCGGGAACAAAACATCACACACTGGGGCCTGTTAGGGTGTTGAGGTCAAGGGGAGGGAGAAAATTAGGACAAATACCTAATGCATATGGGGCTTAAATCCTAGACGTCAGGTTGATAGAAGCAGCAAACCACCATGGCACATGTAAACCTATGTAACAAACCTGCACGTTCTGCACATGTATTCCAGAACTTAAAGTAAAACAAACTAACAAAAATGCACTAAGGCTGAGGGGGAGTGGGGGTAGGGGCAGGAGTCAGGCGGGGGTGGGTGAGTCCTGGAGTTTTATCCAGTCATTGACACTGATGTGGGAACAGCCCAATCAGGCGCGCAGTTGGAGAGGACAGGAGAGGAGGGCGTGGCTTCTGGCGTTTGGCGGGTCTTTGTCTCTCGCTGGCGCTGGCACAGAAACTTGGGATCCGTCTCCTCTTTCGCCTCCTCCGCTTTGGGAGCCCCGGGCTACTCTTTCACAGCCCCTGTTGCCCTGTGATCTGTAGGTCCTTGGGGACGCACAGTTAAGATGACAGGACATCCTGGAAGCTGGGAAATGGTGAGTATACGGGGTTCGGCATCCCGAGAGGGGAGAGCAGGCTGTGAAACCGGCAGGACCGGCCCCCACGGTTAGCTCCGAGTCTCCCGCAGCTTGGCCCTCAGTCCCCTGTGGCTGCAAGATGGCCGCTGGGCCAGCATCGAGGACCCCCACATCCGGCCTGGCCCATCCGGTGCTGTCCCTGGGCAGCGCCCTGCTCTGCGCCCACAGCCATGAGTATTTCCCAGATTGTTCAGGGAGGCCTGGTGGGTCATCAGGGAAAAACTGCCACTGGGTGTTTGCGTGGGAGGAGCTGCGGCCCGTGGGGTCCCCAGTCTCTCTTGTTAAAAATTAACGGGAGTCTATGTTAAAACGTTAACCAGTTTATCTGAACAAACAGTGATTGGTGAAATGGAAAGCACCCAGCCATGATTTCTGGTCCACCAGAGGGGCATAAAGGAAAGGCTTTCATAAGATGCATGAGAAAGCAGCCCAAATTCAAAAATTGGTTCCAGTTATGTAGTCACCTTATTTGAACTATCCAGATGGAAATGTCCTGGTTACATATTCAGAGGTTAATTGCATGTTTGCCATTGGTTAAACGTGCATTTTGTTTCAGGCTAAGATAATGCTTTATAGGAAATGTATTTGAGTTAGGTTTTAGTTTTTGTTTTTTTTTTTTTAACCTATGAACCCAGGACACTAGAGCCACTTTAGTCTAATTTTCTGCTCTTTAATTATTTTAACACTCCAGAGGAGGACTGGTTTTCTCCTGTGTTTTTTTAATATATGGCAAGTGGAACCTCTAATCGACCACCCTGTTTTTCAGCCTAACTCAGGCTTGTGGTAAAATTATCAGTTCCCACTTTCTTTGCTGCATTCTCAAATGCAACACAGGAGAACAGCTTTCCCTTGCAAATTCACAATGCTGTTAACTATTTGTCCTTTATTATACATTTCATTAAAGTTTTCTATTATTGGATTTCTTTCTACTTCTCCCTACAGTTCTGCCCATATTTGCTTTTTATATTTAGAAGCCTCCCTTTTGGGTGCATAAATATATATAGCTATATTCACTTGACAAATTAACCTCTATTATTATTGTATGGTAAACTCATTTCATGCTTGTGAGAGACATTGCTAGAAAGTCTATTTTGTCTAATTTAAGCATAACTACCATTGAACTCCTTTGGCTATTATTTGCATGGAATATCATTTTCTATCCTTTCACTTTTAGCCTATGCTCTTAATTCATAATTGAGTCTCTTGTAAGCAGCATATTACGAGGTTTAAAAGTTTCATTTATCCACTCTGTCTGCTTTAGTCTCTTTTGGCTGTTATAACAGAATATCACAGACTGGTAATTAATAAAGAACAGAATTTTATTTGACTCATGATTCTGGAGGCTGGGAAGGTAAAAGAACATGTTACTGGTATCTGTTGAAGGTCTAGTTGCTGGATAATAACATGGCCAAAGATGTGAGGGAGAGACAGCTTTTTTTTTTTAATATATAACAGATCCATTCTTGTTAAAATTAGCCCATTCCCATAATAAGAACATTAATCCATTCATGAGGGCAGAGTGCTTATAGCTTAATTAATTTTTAAAGGTTCCACCTCTTAATTCTTTCACATTGGCCATTTTATCCTAAATTTTGGAGATGACATTCAGTCTACAGAAGTATCTGTTTAGTAGATAATTTAATCTTTTTATTTGTAAGGTAGTGATAAGTAAGCAGTTACTATTGTACATTTGTAGTTTTCTGTCCATTTTAAGTTTGCTTCTTTTTTTTCTGGTTCTGTCTTTCCTGTGGTATTGTTCATTTTTGTTGAGACAAAGTTATGCTTTCTTGCTCAGACTGAAGTTCAGTGGCATATCACAGCTCACTGTAGCCTCAATCTCCTGGGCTCAAGCAATCCTCCCCCCTTAGCCACCCAAGTAGCTTGGACTACTTGGACACGTACCACAACACCCAAGGAGCTTATGATTCTTCCACCTTGGCCTCCAAAAGTGTTGGAATTATAAGCAGGAGCCACTGTATCCAATGTGTAATTTTTGTTGTTTGTGTATGCTTTAATTACTTTCTCTTTTTCTTTACTATGTTTTTTTTTCCCCCAGTGGTTATCATGAGACTTATGTAAAACCTCTTGTATTTTAATAGTCTAGTTTAAGATGATAACAATTTAGAGTATTCTGAATTTCAGTATGTATTTACCATTTTTAGTGACATTTATACTTTAGTATTTTTCATATTGTTAGTTAGCATTTCATCATATCAATGTGAAGATTTCTTCCAGACCATGGCTGGAGAAGGAAAGAAGGTGTGTTTTGCCTGATTCAGGGACTATAGAGAGAACCAAGTTCTGCAGGCCTGTCACCTAAGTCTCAGATGAGTATGAATTCTTTTGTGTTTTTCACAGATTTTTGCAGTGGCAGGACCAAGTTCAAATGAGTCATAGCCAAGTTTACAGTAAGATGTGGTAGTATTCTGTTTTGAACCGAGGACCATGATTGGCAAGCTTGCCACTTGGTCAAGTGCTTACCCTCTAAAGATGTCTTCCTTGGTCTTTGCCTCCAGCTGGGTGTCACAAACTCTGAACTGGATTCTAAGGCTTTCATGAATGCACTTATGTTTCCCGTGGCAGCTGCATTATGTTGTGGGGGATGTGCATGCCGAACCTCCCATTCTGTCATCTTGCTTATGTTACTCTCCTTTATGTTTCACTTTCTCAAATGAATGTCAAGCTGGTGATTTTTAGATTCAAAAATTCTAAAATAAATTGCTCAAATTTCCACATTATGTAAGCTATTAATAAAATGTCTTGTAGGTGCTACATATTTATTAAAATTTTTGGTTGTAATTTTAAGCTCACTGCAGGCAGAAAGGAATCATTAACATTTATATTCTTTTTTTTAGTCTGTATCTAAATGATGGCATATTTTAATTCCAGATATTTACTTTATACTGCAGTAATGCTCGTCATATTTTGCAAAATTTATGTTGTTCTTTTATTTGGAAATATAAGGCTTTTTTAGCTCCTGAAATCTATATTATAGTCATATAATTTTATTATGTTTTGTGGTAAGAAGTGCAGCAACATATTGAGAACATAATAAAATTATCCTGTATTTTTAATGATTATTTATTAAATTCCTCTCATTAGAGCCTGTTATTAATGATTGTAATGTATTTTCTGTATAATTTTACTGCAATTTATTAAATTCTAATGACTTAAATTGTCTGCTTTTCATGAGTGCACACAGTTGAATGCTGTAGATATCTAAAGAATTATTTTTCGGCCGGTTGTGGTGGCTCATGCCTGTATTCCCAGCACCTTGGGAGGCCAAGGCGGGTGGATCACGAGGTCAGGAGATCGAGACAACCCTGACTAACATGGTGAAACCCCGTCTCTACTAAATATACAAAAAATTAACCGGGCATAGTGGCAGGCGCCTGTATCCCCAGCTACTCAGGAGGCTGAGGCAGGAGAATGGCGTGAACTCAGTGGACAGAGTTTGCAGTGAGCCGAGATCGCGCCACTGCACTCCAGCCTGGGCAACAGGGCAAGACTCTGTCTCAAAAAAAAAATAAAAAAAAAAACGGTTATTTTCCATTGTAAATCTATGTTGTATTCAGGATTTTATGCACGAAAATCTCTCTTCTTATTTTCAAGTCCGTGTTATTGTGTTTCTTTTCTTGGGAGTTATGTTTTCTCAGATCAGTTAAATGTATTTTTATTTTAAAGCTTGATATCATCAGTTGAAAGATAATTTTTAGCTCGGTACACTTTATCTCAATGTGATGTTTAATATATGTGTGAATTAGCTGTGTTTGTTGCTTATAGATATATCTGTATGTTTTTCACTTATGTAAGTATGACATCTTTTTCCTTGTTTTTTTGTTTTTTTCTTTTCAGTTTCAGATAGGCTTTTTTTTTTTTTTTAAGAGAATTTTAAAACAGAGTCGAAAGAAGAGAAATCAGTTATTTGTCCTCTTGCAGGGTGGGGAGACAACTTCCTTCCCCACAGGTTTGAGGCTATGCCTAAGTGGTGAGTCTTGAGGAGATGCAGAAAGGATCCATCCCAGGCACTTGGCTGGACTTAAGTAAGCATAGCCTTTAGGCCACAAGACCTGATGGTTTGGGTACTGGTCTGGACATAAGTCCCCATCTTCCCAGAAATATCGTCTTTTGTCTGCAACAACTGGCTGGAGAAATATTTCAGAAAGATATGTGTCTGGAACACCCAAAGGCATACTTTTCCTTTCTCCTTGGCATAGGCCTTGCAGCACTGAAGAAAGACCAGGTTTGCAATGGAGCCTTCAACAGTCTTCATCCCTATGGAACTCAGGGTCTCATAGGGTGACAGGAGAGGAGACAAAGCTAACTTGGGAAGAGTCTCTGTCCTTCAGCTTCTCCCCTACTGAAACACTATATATTGGGCCCACAGTTCATCACAAAACACACATGCTCTCTTTCTTTCTCTCACACCCACATCTTGGGAACCCAAAAACTTGATGGCAGGTAGCTCTGGGTATCCTTGGTCTGGCATTCACCCACTGGGAATCTAAGCTGTCCTAAAGCTCTTTTCAATCACTTCTCACTGTTTCCAGGCCCATGTGGGTAGGTGTTCCAGGCTTCATTCTTTCAGGCTGATCATAAAGGCACAGTGTGGGAAAATCCCCTACTGTGATGGCCATTGCTGGGAAGCAGGAAAGGCTAAGGGCCCACTGCTGCCCAAGGCTAGTATAGATGCCCTCTGCTCCACTCATGTCCTCAAAGACTGATATCAGGTGCAGCAGCTGCTGTCTGGAATGTTATCAAACCAGGACTGCACAGGCACTGCATTCTCTGTGTGGAAGACGTAAGAAGCAGGCGAGTTGTCCAGGATGAGAGTTTTCCTCAGGTCCCTCCCCAGATGGCTGAGGTCATTGACATAGCAGCCCTGGTGGAACAAACGTGACTCATGGGCTAGGCAACCCCAGAACACCTCACACTGGTCCAGCACACCCATCACAATGTGTCTGGAATTGGTGGGTTCTTGTTCTCACTGACTTCAAGAATGAAGCCACAGACCCTCACGGTGAGTGTTACAGTTCTTAAAGGTGGCATGTCTGGAGTTTGTTCCTTCTGACATTCGGATGTGTTGAGAGTTTCTTCCCTCTGGTGGGCTCGTGGTCTCGCTGGCTCAGGAGTGAAGCTGCAGACGTTCGCGGTGAGTGTTACAGCTCTTAAGGTGGCACATCTGGAGTTGTTCATTCCTCCAGGTGGGTTCGTGGTCTCGCTGGCTTCAGGAGTGAAGTTGTGGACCTTCACAGTGAGTGTTACAGCTCATAAAGGCATTGTGGACCCAAAGAGTGAGCAGCAGCAATATTTATTGCAAAGAGCAAAAGAACAAAGCTTCCACAGTGTGGAAGGGGACCCGAGTGGGTTGCCACTGCTGGCTGGGGCAGCCTACTTTTATTCCCTTATCTGGCCCCACCCACATCTTGCTGATTGTTAGAGCCGAGTGGTCTTTTTTCACAGGGCGCTGATTGGTGTGTTTACAATCCCTGAGCTAGACACAAAGGTTCTCCACATCCCCCCAGTGTAGCTAGATACAGAGTGTTGATTGGTGCATTCACAAACCCTGAGCTAGACACAGGGTGCTGGTTGGCATGTTTACAAACCTTGAGCTAGATACAGAGTGCCGATTGGTGTATTTACAATCCCTGAGCTAGACACAAAGTTTCTCCACGTCCCTACCAGACTCAGGAGCCCAGCTGGCTTCACCCAGTGGATCCCCCACAGGGTCTGCAGGTGTAGCTGCCTGCCAGTCTGGCACTGTGCACCCGCACTTCTCAGCCCTTGGGTGGTTGATGGGACTGGGTGCTGTGGAGCAGGGGGCGGCACTCATCCAGGAGGCTTGGGCACACAGGAGCCCACCGATGGGGGGGAGGCTCAGGCATGGCGGGCTGCAGGACCCAAGCCCTGCCCTGTGGGATGGCAGCTAAGGCCCAGCGAGAAATTGAGCACAGCAGCTGCTGGCCGAGGTGTTAAGCCCCTCACTGCCTGGGGCCGGTGGGGCCAGCCGGCGGCTCCGAGTGTGGGGTCCGCCGAGCTCGCGCTGGCCTTCAAGCACTGCACGCCGCCCTGGTTCCCACACGCACCTCTCCCTCCACACCTCGTCGCAAGCTGAGGGAGCCGGCTCCGACCTTGGCCAGCCCAGAAAGGGGCTCCCACAGTGCAGCGACAGGCTGAAGGGCTCCTAAAGTGCTGCCAAAGTTGGAGCCCAGGCAGAGGAGGCCCGGAGAGTGAGCAAGGGTTGTGAGGACTGCCAGCACGCTGTCACCTCTCAACAGGATCTGCATACTTGTTCAGTCTGGAATGAAGAGAGCAATGAAGAAAACACATTTAAACAGTTCCTCCAGTCATCTCAGGAACTCATCCATATAAGGCCTCATGGTCCCCTCAATCTTTACAGTCACTAGGCAGTCAGCATTGCTGATTGGCTTAATGGAGCTATGCACAAGGGTTTCATCCATGTCAGTGACCATACAGATCGTTCCTTGATTTTTCTCTGTCACCTCTGGGAGCAGGCAGGTCCCTGGGATCTGATAAAACTGATACTGGAGACCCTTGAGCTGATCCGACTTAGCAATGGTGTTGACTCCCTCCTTATGTGTGGAGAACTCAGTGGGGGAACTTGACTTGCCAACATGCTGGGTGCAAGAACAGCAGAAAGGTACCTTCTAAGATGTCACAAACATGAGGCCTCTTCGGAGAGCACTTTGGAAACCAGGCCTTGCTTGCTAAGGACCAGGGCATCTTCCCTCCATGCCTGGGTGGTGATGGAGCCTGGTTCCATCTAACAATCCTGAGGGCTCGGCTGGCTGGGTGGGAAGACAGCGGGCACGTTGGCTGGACTGGGCTGGGGGGCATGGGCTGGGGCCTGATTCAGTTCCCGAGAGTCTGACTTCCACAGCTGTTCACATACCCCTTCTCCTTTCCATCACAGGCCGGGAAGGGAGGCGGCCTGTATGGACGGTGGATGGCCTTGGCAGCAGCTCCCCAGGGTGCCCCCAGCCCCAAATCCCCCAGCAGGAGCTTCAGGATCCTCAGTTTGGGTCTAACCTAGGGAATCCACCTCATACTCATGTTTTTTCAAGTTTTATTTTAAGTTCAGTGGTCCATATGTGATAAGCTTTTTTTTCAACTTTTATTTTAAGTTTAGGGGTCCATGTGCAGGATATGCAGGTCTCTTACATAGATAAACGTGTGCCATTGTGCTTTACTGCACAGATCATCTCATCACCCAGGTACTAAGCCCAGCATCCGCAGCTATTCTTCCTGCTGCTCTCCTTCCCCTCCCCCATGCCATGAAACAGGTGTCCAGTGTGTGTTGTTCTTCCTGATGTGTCCATGTGTTCTCATTGATCTGCTTCTGCTAATAAGTTAGAATAATAATAGGTGGTGTTTGGTTTTCTGTTCCTGCATTAGTTTGCTGGGAGTAGTGGCTTCAAATTCCAACCATGTCCCTGCAAAGGACATCATCTCATTACATTTTATGGCTTCATAGTGTTCCATGGTGTATGTGTACCACATTTTCTTTATCCAGTATATCATTGATGGGCATGTAGATTGATTACATGACGTTGCTATTGTAAATATTGCTGCAATGAACATATGTATACATGTTTATTTAAAATAGATTTATATTCCTTTGGGTGTATGCCCAGTAATAGTATTGCTGGGTCAAATGGTATTTCTGCTTCTAGGTCTTTGAGGAATCTCCACACTCTCTTCCACAATGCTTGAAATAATTTACAATCCCACCAACAGTGTAAAAGTGTTCCCTTTTCTCCACAACCTCACCAGCATCTGTTTTTATTTCTTTTTTACTTTTTATTAATAGACATTGTAATTGGTGTGAGATGGTATCTCATTGTTGTTTTGATGTGTATTTATCCACTTATCAGTGATGTTGAGCTTTCCATGTTTGTTGGGCACATGTATGTCTTCTTTTGAGATATGTCTGTTCATGTCCTTTGACCACTTTTTAATGGGGTTGTTTGTTTTTCTCTTGTAAATTTTAAGTCCCTCATAGATTCTGGGTATTAGATATTTGTCAGATGAATAGGTTGCAAAATTTTTCTCCCATTCTCTAGCTTCTCTGCTCTGATGATAGCTTCTTTGGCTCTGTGGAATCTCTTTAGTTTAATTAGACCCCATTAGTCAATTTTTGCTTTTGTTGCTATTTCTTTTGGTCTTTTTGTCATCAAATCTTTCCTCATGACTATATCCTGAATGGTATTTTCTAGATTTTTTCTTCTAAGGTTTTTATAGTTTTGGGTTTTACATTCAAGTCTTTAATCCATCTTGAGTCAATTTTTGTCTATGGTGTTAGGAAGGGTTCCAGTCTTAATTCTCTGCACATGACTAGCCAGTTATCCTAGCACTATTTATTGAATAGGGAGACTTTTCCCTAATTCCTTGTTTTTGTTGACTTTGTCAAAGATCAGTTTGTTGTAGGTTTTTGGCTTTATTTCTATGCTCTCTATTTTGTTTCATTTGTCTATGTGTCTGTTTCTATACCAGTACCATGCTGTTTTTGTTACTGTACTCTTCTAGTACAGTTTGAAGTTAGGCAATGACCCTTTCAGCTTTTTTTTTTTTTTTTTCTTAAGGTTGGCTTGGCTATTTGGGCTCTTTTTTGGTTCCATTTTAATTTTAAAAAGTTTTTTTTTTCTAATTATCTGAAGAATGTCAGTAGTTCAATGGGAACAGCATTGAATCTATAAATTACTTAGGGCAATATGCTCATATTCGTGGTACTGATTCTTTCTCTCCGTGAGCATGGAATGTTTCTCCATTTGTTTTGTGTCCACTCTGATTCCTCTGAGTAGTTGTTTGTAGTTCTCCTTGAAGATATCCTTCACTTTCCTTCTTAGCTGTATTCCTTGGTATTTTTTTCTCTTTATAGCAAATGTGAATGAAAGTTCATTCATGATTTGTCTCCCTGCTTGCCTGTTGCTTGTGTATGGGAATGCTAGCTACTTTTGCAGATTGATTTTATATCCTGAGATTTTGCTACTGCTGCTTATCACCTTAAGAAGCTTTGGGGCTGAGACGAAGAGGCTTTCTAGATATAGGGTCAGGTCATCTGTAAACAAAGATAATTTGACTTTCTCTCTTTCTATTTGAATACTGTTTATTTCTTCCTCTGGCCTGATTTTCCTGGACAAGTTTTCCGAATGGGAGTTGTAATGCGAGTGGTGAGAGAGAGCATACTTTTCTTGTGCCGGTTTTCAGGGGGAATGTTTCCAGCTTTTGCACATTCAGTATGATATTGGCTGTGGGTTTGTTGTATATGGCTCTTCTTATTTTGAGGTATGTTTCTTCAGTTCCTAGTTTATTGAGAATTTTAAACGTGAAGGAATGTTGAATTTTATTGGGTGCTTTTTCTGCATCTATTGAGGTAATCATGTGTTTTTTTTATTTAGTTTTCTTTATGTGATGAGTCACATTTGTTGATTTGCATATGTTGAATCAACCTTGCATCCTGGGGACAAAGCCAATTCCATTGTGGTGGATGCACTTTTTAATGTGCTGCTGGGTTTGGTTTGCCAGTATTTTATTGAGGATGTTTGCACAGTGTTCATCAAAGACATTGGCATGATGTGTTGTTGTTGTTGTTGTTGTATCTATGTTAGGTTTTGGTATCAGGATGATGCTGGCCTGATAGAATGAGTTAGACAGAACTTCTTTGTCTTCAATTTTTTTTGGATAGTTTTAGGAGAAAATGTACTATCTCCTCTTTACCTCAAGTCAAATTCAGCTTGCTTGGTAGGCTAGTTCTTACTGCCTCAATTTCAGAACACATTATTGATCTATTCAGGGTTCAGTCTTGTGGAGAGTTTATTTTGCAAGGAAATTGTCCATTTCTTCTAGATTTTCTGGTTTATGAGCATAGAGGTGTTTATAGTATTCTCTGATCATTGTTCTTATTTCCATGGGATCAGTGATGATATCTCCCTTATTATTTCTATTTGTGTTTGGTTCTTTCTTTTCTTATTTATTTGCCTAACTAGTGTTCCATCTAGTTTATTAATTTTTTTTTTTTTTTTCATAAAAACAGCTCCTGGATTGGTTGAGTTTTTTTTTTTTTTTTTTTTTTTTTTGGAAGAGTTCTCAGTGTCTCTATCTCCTTCAGCTCTACTCTGATCTTGGCTATTTCTTGTTTTCTGCTAGCTTTCAGGTTTGTTTTCACTTGGTTTTCTTGTTCTTTTAATCAAGATGTTAGGCTGTTAACTTCAGATCTTTCTAATTTTTTTTTTTTTCTTGTGGGAGAGTTTCACTCTGTCACCCAGACTGGAGTACAGTGGCATAATCTCGGCTCACTGCAACCTCCTCTTCTCGGTTTTAAGTCACTTCTGCTGTCTCAGCCTCCTGAGTAGCTGGGATTACAGATGTGAATCACCACACCTAGCTAATTTTTGTATTTTTTTGTAGAGATATGGTTTTGCTGTTGGTCAGGCTGGTCCTGAACACCTGGTCTCAAGTGATCTGCCTACCCCAGCCTCCCAAAGTGCTGGAATTACAGGCATGAGCCACCATGACTGGCCCTTTCTAGCTTTTTGATGTGGACATTAGTGCTATAAATTTTCCTCTTTTCTTGGTTTCTAGTGATTATTTTATTCTATCTTGGTGAGTAGTCAGGGAAATAATCTTAAATTTACAATCAACTTATAGTTTAAATCTAAAAAATTATGTGAGAAGAACCCTTTGTTATTTGAAGGGGATGTTTGAAGATTTTGTAACCGTGCCTTTTAGGTAGTCCTAAATTTCTAATTGTAGTTAAAAACATGCCATTTTCATTTCTAACATTTTAAGTATATGGTTTAGAAGTGGTAAGTATAGTTCTATTTTTTTTGCAATAGGTTTTAGATAATTTTTGTCTTACAAAATTAAAAGTGAATACTCATTAATTCTGAAACAAGTTAGTTAGCTTGCTTTAGTTAGATAGCAAGAGAAGGGTCCCTGGAAAGTCCCTGGCCCTTGGGTCAGTATCTCATCCCTGCATAACATAAAAGGAATCCTGGAAAAAATCAAGCTGCAGACACTAACAAGGTAACTAGCACATGGTGTTGTGCTTGGAGACCTGCCCATGGCTGCCCAGACAGAAAAACCTCTGGCCCATTTGGATAAAAACTGGTACAAACCTCCAGCTCACTGAGATAAGGGAACAAGACCGACCTGGCATAGAATTGCCTTTGTTTGGCCAGGCATGGTGGCTCATGCCCGTAATTCCAGCAATTTGGGCGGAAGTGGACGGATCACCTGAGGTCGGGAGTTCGAGACCAGCATGACCAACATGGAGAAACCCTGTCTCTACTAAAAATACAAAATTAGCCGGGCATGGCGCCTCATGCCTGTAATCCCAGCTACTTGGGAGGCTGAGGCAGGAGAATCACTTACATCCAGGTGGCGGAGTTTGCTGTGGGCCGAGATCGCACCACTGCACTCCAGCCTGGGCAACAAGAGCAAAACTACGTCTCAAAATAAATAAATAAATAAATAAATAAATAAATAAATAAATAATAAGAAAGTACATCTCAAAAAAAAAATGAAAGAAAGAAAGAAAAGAAAAAGAAAAAAAGAAACGCCTTTGTACTTTGTGCAGTCAGTGCGCTCCCAGGAAAATGTTTCTTCTCCTTCTGTGGGCATAAGCACAGTGGGCTCTGGTGCATTCCGGTCGACACTCTCCTTTATTTGGACTGTAAGTCTGACCTCTGTGAATAATTACTTCAGCCCCTGATTGCTCCCGGGACAAGCTCCTGCGCCAAGCTTTCACTTTGGCTTCTGATAAGTCCTGGGCCAATCTAAATAGCATGTATGAATCATCCCTTCAGCTCCTGATTGGTCCCGGGCCAAAGTCCTGGGCCAAGCTGAGCCACACTTTTTTCAAGACAGCCTGTGAACTAAGCACATTTCCTTCTCTTCCTTTCCCAGTCCATAAAAACCTTGGGCCCCAGCCTCACAGAGGTCACCCCATTCAGAAACTATCTCTGCTGGCAAAGAGCTTTCTTCTCTTGCTTATCAAACTTTCACTCTAACCTCACCTTTGTGTTCACGCTCCTTAATCTCCCTAGAAGTAGAACAAAGAACTTTCGATGCTATCTCAGACTATGAGAGACTGTTACATCTTGGTGCACTGCTGAGACTACAACACTTGGTTTCTTTGAGTTTGACTAAATATTTTACATAGGTGTAATTATACAGTTTTCCTTTTTGACTGTCTTGTTTTACTTAACAGAATGTTTTCGAGATTTGTCCTTATTGTAGTACTTTTCAAGATTTCCTTATTTTTAAGGCTGAATGCTATCCCAGTGAATATACGTGCCCTGTTTGTTGAATCTACTCATCCTTAAAGGTACATTTGCTTCCAGGTAGTATGTTTGTGAGTAATGCTACAGTGTACATAAATGTGCATATATCTATTCCATGTTCTGCTTTGCCTGTTTGGGATATTTTTCACACACTGATTTAGTACCATGTGTATTCCCTTGCTTTTGTTGTCTGATTCGTTGATGTTACATCCCCCAAATTATTGCCGAGACCAATTGTCATGAAGCTTCACCCTTCTGTATTGTGCTAGGAATTTTACAGCTATAGATTTTACATTATAGTCTTCATATTTTAAAATTGACACATGTAATTGTACAAATTTTGGGGAAACAATTATGTATATATGTTGTATAGCAATAAAAATCAGAGTACTTAGTGTAATTATTGCCTCATACATTTGTTATTTTTGTGGTGAGAACATTCAAAAGCTTCTTCTCTAGCTATTTTTTTATATCTTTATATATTAACTTTTTTTAGAGACAGGATCTTGCTCTAACACACAGATTGGAGTGCAGTGGTGCAATCCTAGCTCACTGTAACCTCAAACAATCTTCTAACCTCAGCTTCCCAATTAGCTGAGACTACAGGAACCTGCCTCCATGCCTGGATAATGTTTTAATTTTTCATAGAGACAGGGTCACACTATGTTGTCCAGGCTCATCTTGAACTTCTGACGTCAAGTGATTCTCCTACCTCATTCTCCCAAAATGTATGGATGGCAGGAATGTGCCACCACAACTGGTCTCTTTTAGCTATTTTGTAATTTGAGATAACTTTTCATTAATTATTATTATTCTGCCGTGTAACAAAAAACAAAAACTTATTTCTCCTATCTAATTGTAACACAATACTTTTGAAGCTGCCTTTTCCCATCTCCCTGCTTCAGTCTCTGGGAACCCCTGTTGTACTCTTTGCTTATATCAACCCTTTTTTTCAGGTTCCTCAAATGAGTGAGATAATAAGATCATAAAGTATTTGTGTTTCTCTATGTGGCTTATTTTACTTAACATGGTATGCTCAAGGTTCATCCATGCTCTTTTAACTGACAGAATTTTATCCTTTCTTATAGCTGAATAGTATTTCACTGTGCATATATAGTACATTTTCCTTATCCATTTATCTGTTGCTGTACATTTGAATTGATTCCATATATAAGCTATTATAACTAGTTCTGTAACTAACATGGAAATGCAAATATCTTTTTGACACAGTGATATCCTTTCTTTTGTATATACATGCAGGAGTAAAATTGCTGGATCATGTAATACATCTATTTTTAATTTCTTTCAGAAACCTCCATAGTATTTTCTATAGTGGCCATACTAATTTACAATTCCACCAACAATGTATACATTCACTCATTTTATATCCTCATTAGTACTTGTTTTATTTATTTATTTATTTTTATTATAGCCATTCTAAATGGGAGTGAGGCGGTACCTCATTGTGGTTTGGATTTTCATTTCCTTAGTGATTAGTAATGTAGAACATATTTTTATGTTCCAGTTAGCCATTTTTGTATCACTTTTTGACAAACATCTATTAAGATGTTTTGCATTTTTTAATTAGATTATAAGTGTATTTTATTTTGAGATTTTAAAGTTTCTTATTTATTCTGAATATTAGCCTTTTGTCATATGTATAGCCTGAAAGCATTTTCTTTTATTGCCTAAGCTGTCTCTTCAATCTTTTAGTTTTTTTAATATGGAAAAGCATTTTAGTTTGACATAATGTTGTTTGCTTATTTTTGATTTTGTTGCCTATGTTTTGACATGTTATTTTAATAATCCTTTCCCCGTCGAATGTTATAAAGCATTTTTTAGTTTTTCTCTAATAGTTTCATAATTGATAGCATTACATTTAAGTCTTTAGTTTGAATTGATTTTCATATATGGCAAGGCACAGGGGTCTAGTATAATTTTTCTGAATTTAAATATTTAAATGGCCCTGCATCATTTATTGAAGAAATTAGCTTTTCCCTAAAGTGTGTTCTTGGCAATTTTGTTGACAATCAGTTGGCTTTAGGTGCATAAACTAACTTCTGGGCTTCTTGGGCACATTAGTCTATGTGTTTGTTTTTATGCCAGTACAGTGCTGTTTTGGTTACTATAGCTTTGTAGCAAGTTTTGAAGTTTGATAAAGTGATGCCTTTAGCTTTGCTTATTTTGCTCAAAGTTATTTGTCTATTCAGAGTTTTTTGTGGATCCACATAAATTTAAAATATTTTTTCTATTTCTGTGAAAAAATGTCATTGATATTTTGATAAAAATCACGTTAGTCTCTAGATCACTTTGGGTAATTAACAGTATTCTTCCAGTGTATAAACACAAGATTTTTTCATTTATTCATTTGTATTTTATATTTTTTATCCATGTTTTGTCATTTTCAGAGTAGAGATCTTGTACCTTTTAAGTTAAGTTTGTTGCTAGGTGTATTAGTCGGGCTCCCTAGAGAGATCACAAGATCTCACAATAGGTTGTCTGCAAGTTTTAGGAGCAAGGAGAGGCAGTCCACGTCCCAAAGCTGAAGAACTTGGAGTCTGGTGTTTGAGGGCTGGAAACGTCCAGCACAGGAGAAAGATGTAGACTGGGAGCTTAGGCCAGTCTCTCCTTTTTACGTTTTCCTGCCTGCTTTATATTCATTGGCAGCTTATTAGATGGCGCTCACCCAATTAAGAGTGGGCCTCCCTTTCCCAGCCCATTGACTCAAATGTTAATCTCGTTTGTCAACACCCTCACAGGCACACCCAGGATCAATGCTTTCTATCCTCCAATCCAATCAATTTGACAGCCAGTATTAACCATCACATTAAGTATTTTAATTTTTGTACCTTTTGCTTATGCAGAAGAAACGTTGGATGAAATTCAACATTCATTATGATGAAAACTCTCAACAAATTAGGAATAGAAGTTATGTTTCTCAACACAATAAAGGCCATTTATGACAAAGCAATGCTAACATTATACTGAATAAGGAAAAGCTGAAAGCTTTCTCTCTGAGATCCGGAACAAGACTAATCATCCCCACTTTCAGACCTCTTATTCAACATAGTACTGGAAGTCTTAGCCAAGGACATTATGCAAGAGGTAGAAATAAACTCATACTAATAGGAAAGGATGAAGTCAAATGGTCTCTGATTGTGGACAAAATAATCTTATATGTGAAAAACTCTAAACACTACACCAAAACCTAATAGAACTACTAAACAAATTCTGTAACATTGCAGAAAATCAACAGAGTAGCAGCTTTCTGTATGCTGATAGCAAAATATCTGAAAAATAAAGTTTAAAATTCCATTTTAATAACTAACAAAAATTAGTTATTTTGAGTTTATTTCTTTATATGAGGTGGAGTCTTTCTCTGTCACCAGGCTGAAGCACAGTGGTGTGATCTCCGCTCACTGAAACTCTTGCCTCCCGGGTTCCAGAGATTCTCCTGCCTCAGTCTCCTGAGTGGCTGGAACTATAGGCGTGTGCCACCACCGCCAACTAATTTTTGTTTGTATTTTTAGTAGAGACGTGGTTTCCCCATGTTGGCTAGGATGGTCTTGATCTCCTGACCTTGTGATTCACTTGCCTCAGCCTCCCAAAGTGCTGGGATTACAGGTGTGAGCCACCACACCCGGCCTTGAGTTTATGTTTTTATTGGTGCAAGGTAAGGTGTAACTTTGTTATTTTTTCCTTGTAAATTTTTATTATTCTCAATACTGTTTGTTGAAGAGACTGTTCTTTCCTTATTGTGAATTCTTGGAACAGTTTTTAAAAATAAGTTTACTAAACCCATGATGTCTTATGTCCGAACACTCATCTGTTTCATCATTCATTTGTCTTTCTGTCAGTACCAAACAGTTTTGATTACTATACCTTTATAGTATGTTTTGAAATTAGAAAGTATGATGCCTCTATCTTTATATTTTTTTCCCAATATTATTTGGCTGTTTGCAATCACTTGAAATTCCATAAAAATTATAGAATATTTTAAAACTTCTGCAAAAAGTTTCATTGGTATTTTGATAGAAAGTATATTGAATCAACTAGGGGTGGTGGTTCATGCCTGTAATCCCAGCACTTTGGGAGGCTGAGGAAGGTGGATCACCTGAGGTCAGGAGTTCGAGACCAGCCATGGAGAAACCCCATCTCTACTAAAAATACAAAATTAGCCAGGTTTGGTGGCACTTGCCTGTAATCCCAGCTACTCAGGAGGCTGAGGCAGGAGAATGGCTTGAACCCAGGAGGTGGAGGTTGCAGTGAACTGAGATCACACCATTGCACTCCACCCTGGGCAACAAGAGCAAAAACCCATCTCAAGATAAAAAGAAAGAAAAGAAAAGAAAGAGCATTGAATCAGTTAACCACTTTCGGTAGTAGTGACATGTTAACAATATTAAGTCTATAACCTCTTGAACAAGAGTGTGTTTGAGAATTTGTTGTTTAATTTTTACTTATTCTTTGACATGCTAGTGTTTTTAACTTCTTGTTTTATTGTATCATAGTTAGCAATAATTTTGTAATTCCATCTGCTTAAATTTGCTAAGATTCATCTTTTAACTTAACAGGTGGTCTATCTGGAATATTGTGGCATGTGTGATTAAAAGTATTGCAGATTCTACTGTTGAGTGGAGAAATATAAATGTGACTGTTAGGTCTAATTGTCCTATCGTGTTGTTGAAATCCTCTGTTTACTTATCCATCTTATGTTTGTTTTTTAATTTACATTACTAAAAGTCAGATATAAAAGTCATTTACTGTTATCAGGTGCTGGCTACTTCATGTTTCAATTCTGTAAAATGTTGCTTCATATGTTTGGGAACTGTGATGTAAGGCACATGCGTTACTGTTGTTGCTTTTATTGTTGTATGTTGTTTTAATGTTTTTGCTTTTATTGTTGTATGTTGCTTTATTGTTGTTGCTTTTATTGTTGTTGTTTTTATTGTCCTTTTCCTCTTGTCTCTTGAGGAAGTTTTTGATATAATATGTATTTTGTCTACCATGACAGTATTTGATTTTGCATTTAATATTTTTTATTATTCTTTCATGTACAGGTTATATGTGTTCCAGATCATAATTTGGTTATTTGTAGGAAGCAGAGAGTTGAATCTTGTTTCATGAATTTATTTAGTGAAAGTATGTTTTTGATTGACATAATTGATTTATATAAAAAAAATTACTAAAAGGGAATGATTTCGTATTGCATTTTGTTTCTTTTTTGTTTTAGGTCCTGCAGCATTTTTTTTTTTTTTTGAGACGGAGTCTCTCTCTGTCGCCCAGGTTGGAGTGCAGTGGTGAGATCTTGGCTCAAAGTAAGCTCCGCCTCCCGGGTTCATGCCATTCTCCTGTCTCAGATTCCCCAGCAGCTGGGATTGCCGGAGCCTGCCACCACGCCCGGCTATTTTTTTTTTTTTTTTTTTTTTTTTGGTAGAGACGTGGTTTCACCGTGTTAGCCAGGATGGGCTCGATCTCCTGACCTCGTTGATCCACCCACCTCGGCCTCCCAAATTGCTAGGATTACAAGCGTGAGCCACCGCCCCTGGCCGGTCCTGTAGCTATTTCGTTCCTGTTTTTCTCTCTTGTTCTCTTTCTTAGTGTACTATTGATTTTTGTAGTGACATGTTTTAATTCTTTTCTCACTACTCTCTGTGTGTGTATGTCTTTCTGTGTGTGTACTATAGGTATTTCCTTTTTTTTTTTGACAGGGTCTTGCTCTGTCACCCAGGCTGGAGTGCAGTGGCACAATCTCTGCTTACTCAAGCTCTGCCTCTCAGGCTCAACTCAAACAATCCTCCCACCACAGCCTTCTGAGTACCTGGGACCACAGATGTGCACCACTACTCCTGGCTAACAGTTGTTATTTTGCATAGAGACAGGGTTTTTCCATGTTACCCAGACTAGTCTCAAAATCCTAAGAACTGTAGGTATTTTCTTTGTTGTTACTATAGATATTACCAAGAATAACTACTATTACATATAAAACCCTGCCTCTTTATGGCTCCCTATGTGTTTTATTGATGTCACAAATTATATCATTTTGTGTTGTGAATCTGTTGGCACAGATTTATAGTCATTTTTAAGTCTTTGTTGTCTCAAATATATAGCAGAATTAAAGTATTCTGTGCATCTTCATTATAATTACAAAGAATATTATGATTGTGTACATAATTTTCTCTATTAGAAAATGTCATATTTTACATAATTTTGTGTTGCTCTCATCATTATTTCATTTTTTAATGTGAATGACTATTTAGCATTTTTTAAGACAGGCCTAGTGGGTATAAATTTATACAGTTTTTGTTGATCTTGAATATTCTTTATTTTTATTTTTTAATTCATTTGAAATGATAGTTTTGGCAGACATAGTGTTCTTGGCTGGTACTTGCCATTTTTTCAGCACTTTGAGTATGTCATCCTACAACCTCTTACCTGTAAGTTTTTTTGCTGAGACATCTGCTGGTCATCCTGCAGGGGTAAACTTGTACATGCTAAGTCACTTTTTTCTTGCTGACTTCAAGATTCTCGGTGTTTTAACTTTTGAATCTCTGATTATAATGTGTCTTGTCATGGGTCTCCCTGTGTTGTTACTAGTTAGAGTTGGTAAAGTTTCATTAAATTTTAGGTCATTTTCTCCCTCAAATTCTGAGTTCTCTGTCACTGTTTGTTTCTTGAAATAATTTTGCTGCTCTCTTTTCTCTTTTTATTTTAGAATTCCCATTATGAGTATATTGGCCATCTTAATGGTATCCTATAATTCCCTTAGGCTCTCTTAATTTTTTAAATTATTTTTAGCCTCCTCACCCTATAATTTCAAATGACTTCTTATGAGGCTTGCTGTATTTTTTCCTGCTAGATCAAACCTGTTGTTGGACTTTCTAGTGAATCTCTAAACTCAGGTATTTTACTTTTCAGCTCTACACTTTGTTTCTATTTTGCACTTTTAATCACTTCTTTGATAATCTCATTATCTTCATGCATTGTTTTCTTTTTCTGTTTAGTTTTCTATATTCTTCTTTAGCTGACTGAGCATCTTTAAGCTAGGTGTTTTAGCCAGGCACAGTGACACGTGCATGTGACTCCAGCTACTTTGAAAGCTAAGGCAAGAGGGCTACTGTATTAATCCATTATCATGCTGATAATAAGGACATAAACAAGACTATGTAATTTATCATGAAAAAAGTTTTAATGGCCTCTCAGTTTCACATGGTTAGGGAGGTCTCACCATTATTGGAACAAGCAAGAGACCGTTCAGGGGAACCTCCACTTATAAAACCATCAGATCACATGAGACTTATTTGTTATCATGAGAACAGCATGGGAAGATCCCACCCCCATGATTCAATTACCTCCCACAGGGTCCCTCCCAGGACATGTGGGGATTATTACAATTTAAGATGAGATTTGATTGGGGACACAGAGCCAAACCCTGTCAATTACTTAAATCCAGGAGTTTGACACTACCCCGGGCAATATTGTGACAAGCTATTGGTAAAAAATATTTTCCCAGATTACTCAGGCATTGTGGAATGTTCCTGTAGTCTCAGGAAGTTGGAGGCTGACGTAAGATTATTCCTTGAGTTCCCCAGGAACTTGAGGCTGCATTGAGCTATAATCATGGTATTGTATTCCTGTCTGGGTGAGAGAGTAAGACCTCTTTTTAGAATTTCAAATTTATTTTAGATTTAGGAGGTACCTACACAGGTTTTTTACATGGGTATTTTGTATAATGCTGAGGTTTGAAGTATGAGTAATTCCATCAATCAGGTAGTGAGCATAGTACTAAGTAGACAGTTTTTCAGTTCTTGGTCCCTCCCTCTCTCTACCCTCTAAGAGTTGTCTATTATTTTTGTTTTTCTGTCCATGTGTACCCAGTGTTAATTTCCATTTATAAGTGAGAATATGCAGTATTTTCATTTTCCATTTCTGCATTAATTTGCTTTGTATAATGGCCTTTAGTTGTGTTAACGTTGCTGCAAAGGAGGTTTTTTTTGTTTGTTTTTGCTAAGTAGTATTGCTGTACATGTGACACTTTTTAAATTCAATTTACCATCAATAGGCTGGACATGGTGGCTGATGCCTGTAATCCCAGTGCTGTGGGAGGCCAAGGCGGGTGGATCATGAGGTCAGGAGATCGAGACCATCCTGGACAACGTAATGAAACCCCGTATGTACTGGAAATACAAAAGTTAGCCAGGCTTGGTGGCATGCGCCTATAGTCCCAGCTACTCGGGTGGCTGAGGAAGGAGAATTGCTTGAACCTGGGAGGTGGAGATTGTAGTGAGCTGAGATCGTGCCACTGCACTCCAGCCTGGGCAACAGAGTGAGACGTCATCTCAAAAAAATAAAAAATTACCATGAATAGGCACGTAGGTTGATTCAGGTCCTTCCTCTTATGAATAGTGTAGTGATGAACCAACAAGTGCATGTGCTATTTTGGTAGAATAGTTTATTCTCTTTTGGGTATATACCCAACGGTGAAATTGCTGGGTTGAATCACAGTTTAACTCTCAGTTATTTGGAAAATCTCCAAGCTGCTCTCCACAGTGGCTGAACTAATTTACATTCCTATTAACAGTGTATAAGTGGTTTTTTCCCTCTAAAACCCCATCAACATCTATTATCATTTTACTTTTTAACAAAAACCATTCTAACTGGTGTACAATGGTGTCTTATTGTGGTTTTTATTTACATTTCCTTGATGGTTAGTGATGATAAGCTTTTTTCATGTTATTTGGCCACTTGTATGTGTTCTTTTGAAGAGTGTCTGTTATTGCCCACTTTTTCATGGGGTAATTTTTTCCTTGTGAATTCTTTAAGTTTCTTATAGATTCTGAGTATTAGATTTTGTCAGGTTCATAGGTTATGAATATTTTTGCCATTCTGCTAGCTTTGGGGTAAGTTAGTTTTTATTTTTCTAGTTTCTCTAAGTGTGATGTTAAATTGTTAGTTTGAGATCATTCTAACTTCTTGATGCAGGTATTTAGCACTCTCAACTTTCCTCTTAACAGAGCTCTTCCTACAACCCAGACATTTTGTTATATTGTGTCTCTTCTATTTCAAAATCTTTTTAATTTTCTGCCTTAATTTTTTTGTTTATCCAAAATTCATTCAGGAGCAAGTTGTTTAATTTCAATATCATTCTGTGATTTTGTGAGATTTTCTTGGTATTGATTTTTATCTTTGTTCCATTGTGGCCTGTCATATTCTGTGAGCAGATGAGAAGAATTTACTTTCTTTAGATGATGTGTTGCATATACTATAAATGTCTATTAGTTTCAATTGATCAAGTGTCGAATCAAACTCCAGAATTTCTTTGTTAAGTTTCTGCCTAGATAATCTGTCAAACACTTAGTGGGGAGTTGCATTCCCCTACTATTATTGTGTGTCTACTTGAGTCTTATTGTAGGTCTAGCAGTAATTGTTGTATAACTCTATGTTCCCCAAAGTTGGGTGCATCTACATTTACGATAGTTAAGTCTTCTTGTTGAATTGAACCCTTTATCGTTACGCAATACCTTTCTTTGTTTTATTTTACTATTAATGATTTAAAGCTATTTTTTCTTAAAAGAGAAACAATTCCAGGTATGGTAGCTTGTGCCAGCACTTTCAGACTGAAGCAGTCGGATTGCCTGAGACCAGGAGTTTGAGACCAGCCGAGGCAACACAGCAACATACTGTTTGTACAAATTTTTTTAAAGAAACTATACAGGAGGGGTAATGTGCACAACTGTGGTCATATTTACTCAGGAGACATAGGTGGCATGACTGCTTGACTTCCGAAATTTGAGGTTACAGTGAGCTGTGATTCCACCAGTGTACTCTGTCCCAGGAGATAAAGTAAGATCCTCTGCATAAAATGAAAAAGTAAAGAAAAATAAAAAGATTTTAAGTTAAAAAAAAATTCCTAGATCTCCACTTCTTTAGGTTCACTTGAATATATATTTTTCTCCTTTGATTGGGTTATATTTCCTGGTAGCTTTTACTTACTGTAGTTTTGTTAAGGTTTTGATCAATTAAGAAACCACTACCTATTTTATCCTTTATGAAAGAGCTTTATACATGGGAAAATTGACAACATTCAGCCACAGTAGTCATACTGGGAGCTTCTCCAATCTGTTGTCAAAATGTGTCTTCTTTGGACTACTGTATGTATTTTCTTGTTAATAAGGTTTACCTCTGTTTCCTCTTAGGAGCCTTTAGTCTCTTCCCTTCGTCACTGTTGTAGGCACTACAGTCTCTGTTGTTGTAAGAAGCATTTATCTTTATTCTCAGTTGACCCAAGCTGTCATTTAAACTCAGTCTCTATTCTCATCAACACTAAATGTTAAAGGAAGCAATTTCCAGTCTTTAGATAACCCCGGTATAACTCAGTAAGTCAGAAGTTTGCATACGCATTTCACTCTTTTTTCTTTCCCAAAGGAGAATCATGGAATGGACAGATTTTTATCTAACTGCGCTGTTCTGTAGTGCACAAATGTGACCAAATTTTCTTCTAAATGTGGTTATGGTTGGCTTTTTTCTCATGTAGGGTGCTACAAACTCAACTGGCTTTGTTCACCCAATTGTAGTTAAGTTCACATGTCAATGGAGAGAAACAGGATCTCAGGTTCTGCTTCAACTGTCGTTGTCTTCTCAGCTGACCTCATTTTGTACATTAGATTTATAAAATATATTTACTTTAATCTCATCACCGAATTTTTAAAAAAATTATTATTTTTCAGCTCTTTTAGCAATATATCCAATCAAGACCCAGAGAAAACAGTACATAGAAGCTTCTTTTCAAAAAGTAATATTGGGAAGATATGGGAGCTCTGGCCTTGAACTTTTACACTTAGGAGAGTGGGAAATTGAAGGATAAGTGTAAACGGCACAAAGTATGCTATGATGAATATACCAGATACACAGCAATTACCTACAGCAAAAATGTCACTGCTAGAAGAGCTCAAAACCATAAAGTATTTTGGAAAAAGCATAATTAATGTTGATTCTTTTTTCTGAACTATATATTTATATAATTACATACCAATAACAATTTTTGAAACATATCATGTTTTTGAAACAAAATTTAGAAAATCGCAATAGTGGCCTAGGCCAGGAATATTTCTTCTAATGCTATCCCTCCCATAGTCCCCCACTTCCCGACAGGCTCCAGTGTGTGATGTTCCCCTTCCTGTGTCCGTGTGTTCTCTTTGTTTAACTCCCTATTATGAGTGAGAACATGCGATGTTAGCTTTTCTAATCTTGTGTTAGTTTGCTGAGAATGGTGGTTTCCAGCTTCATCCATGTCCCTGCAAAGGACATGAACTCATCCTTTTTATGACTGCATCGTATTCCATGATGTGGACATGCCAAGTTTTCTTTATTCAGTCTATCATTGATGGTCATTTGGTTTGTTTCAAAGTTTTTGCTCTTGTGAACAGTGCCGTAATAAACATACGTATGCATGTATCTTTATAATAGAATAATTTATAATCCTTTGGGTATATACCCAGTAATGTGATTGCTGGGTCAAATGGTATTTCTCATTGTGGATCCTTGAGGAATCACCACACTGTCTTCCACACTGGTTGAACTAATTTACTCTCTCACCAACAGTGTATAAGTCTTCCTATTTTTCCACATCCTTTGTTGTTTCCTGATTTTTTTAATGATCACCATTCTAACAGGTGTGGGATGGTTTCTCATTGTGTTTTTGATTTGCATGTGTCTAATAACCAGTGATGATGTCCTTTTCTTCATTTGTTTATTGGCTGCATAAATGTCTCCTTTTGAGAAGTGTCTGTTCAAATCCTTTGCCCATTTTCGATGTTGTTGTTTCTTTTTTTCTTGTAAATTTGTTTAAGTTCTTTGTAGATTCTACATATCAGCCCATTGTCAGATGGATAGATTGCAGAAATTTTCTCCCATTCTTTAGGTTGCCTGTTCACTCTGATATAGTTTTTTTTGTTGTGCAGAAGCTCTTTAGTTTAATTATATCTCGTTTGTCAATTTTGGCTTTTGTTGCCATTGTTTTTGGTGTTGTAGTCATGAAGTCTTTGCCCATGCCTATGTCCTGAATGGTACTGCCTTGGTTTTCTTCTGGGGTTTTTATGGTTTTAAGTCTTATGTTTAAGTCTTTAATCCATCTTCAGTTATGTTTTGTATAACGAGTAAGGAAGAAGTCCAGTTTCAGTTTTTTGCATATGGCTAGCTAGTTTTCCAACAGCATTTATTAAATAGGGAATCCTTTCCCCATTACTTGTTTTTGTCAGGTTCATCAAAGATCAGATGATTCTAGATGTTGAGTGTTATTTCTGAGGCCTCTGTTCTGTTCCATTTGTCAATATATCTGTTTTGGTACGAGTACCATCCTGTCTTGGTTACTGTGGCCTTTTAGTATAGTTTGAAGACAGCTAGCATGATGCCTCCACCTTTGTTATTTTTGCTTAGTATTGTCTTGTCTATGCAAGACCTTTTTTGATTCCATATGAAATTTGAAGTAGTTTTTTTTCTAATTCTGTGAAGAAAGTCAATGGGAGCTTGATGGGGATAGCAATGAATTTATAAATTACTTTGGGCAATATGGCCATTTTCATAATATTGATTCTTCCTATCCATGAGCATGGATTGTTTTCGTTTGTTTTTGTCCTCTTTCATTTCCTTGAGCAGTGGTTTGTAGTTCTCCTTGAAGTGGTCCTTTACATCATTTTTAAGTTGGATTCCTAGGTATTTTATTCCCTTTGTAGCAATTGTGAATGAGAGTTAACACATGATTTGGCTCTCTGTTTGCCTATTATTGCGTATAGGAATGCTTGTGATTTTTGAACATTGATTTTGTATCCTGAGACTTTGCTGAAGTTGCTTATCAGTTTAAGGAAATTTTGGGCTGAGATGGTAGGATTTTCTAGATATACAATCATGCCATCTGCAAACAAAGACAATTTGACTTCTTCTCTTCCTATCTGAATACGCTTTATTTCTTTCTTTCTTTGGCTGATTGCCAGAACTTCCAATACTATAATGAATAGGAGTGGGGAGAAAGGGTGTTCTTGTCTTGTGCAGGTTTTCAAAGGGAATGCTTCCAGTTTTTGCCCATTCAGTATGATATTAGCTGTGCATTTGTCATAAATAACTCTTATTATGTTGAGATAGGTTCCATCAATACATAATTCATTGAGAGTTTTTACCATGAAGAGGTGTGGAATTTTATTGAAGGTCTTTTTTGCATCTATTGAGATAATCATGTGGTTTTTGTCATTAGTTCTGTTTATGTGATGGATTTTATTTATTGATTTGCATATGTTGAACCAGCTTTGTACCCCAGGGATTAAGCTGACTAGATCGTGGTGGATAAGCTTTTTGATGTGCTGCTGGATTCGGTTTGCCAGTATTTTATTGAGGATTTTCGCATCGATATTCATCAGGGATATGGGCCTGAAATTTTCTTTTTCTGGTGTGTCTTTGCCAGGTTTTGGTTTCAGGATGATGCTGGCCACATAAAATGAATTAGGGAGGAGTACCTCTTTTTCTATTGTTTGAAATAATTTCAGAAGGAATGGTACCAGCTCCTCTTTGTACCTTTGGTAGAATTCGGCTGTGAATCCGTCTGGTCCTGGACTTCATTTTGTTGGTAGGCTACTAATTACTGCCTCAATTTTAGAACTTGTTATTGGCCTATTCAAGGATTCGACTTCCTACTGGTTTGCACTTGGGAGGGTATATGTGTCCAGGAATTTATCCATTTCATCTAGATTTTCTAGTTAATTTGCAAAGAGGTATTTATAATATTCTGTAATGATACTTTTTATTTCTGTGGGATCAATGGTTATATCCCCTTTATCATTTCCTATTGCATGTATTTGATTCTTCTCTTCTTCCTTATTAGTCTGGCTAGAAGTTTATTTATTTTCTTGATCTTTTAAAAAAACCAGCTCCTGGATTCATTGATTTTTTGGACGGGCTTTTTGTGTCTCTATCTCCTTCAGTTCTGCTCTGATCTTAAATCTTGTCTTCTGCTAGTTTTTGAATTTGTTTGCTCTTGCTTCCTTAGTTTTTTTAATTGTGATGTTACGGTGTCGATTTTAGACATTTTTCTGCTTTCTCTTGTGGGGATTTAGTGCTGTAAATTTCCCTTTCAGACTACTTTAGCTGTGTCGTATTTTACTTTTTAAGCCCTCAATCTTTCTTTTTCATCATGATAGTCTTTACTGTTTTATGTTTATGTAATGTAAAATTGACTACACAATTTTTACAAAGATTTTATGAAAATATTTTATTGAGAATGTACAAACCTGTCAGTCAATTAGAGGAGAAGTTACACTGTCGTAATAAATAGCCACAAAGCAAAACCCCAAAAGACATCTAAATCAGAATAAAACAAAACATTTTAACAAAAACAAAAAGAACAAACTGTCAACAAATATGTGAAGTTTATATTACAAAGATGCTCACTTATCCACTCTAAAGAGAGCTTTTAGAATTTGATTTAAAATACGGCAAAGACATTATCCCACACTTCACAGAAAAAATAAATTTAAGCAGCTGTTAACACATGAATGTATTATCAAGCTCAGATATAATCAAAATTAAATATTTGATAAGAGATTCTACAGTTTGGGAGAAATAGAAGTGTTTTTTTCTTTTCCCCAGGCCCACAAGTCTAGTTTCTTGCTCTTCTTCACTATAATGGGGTTTGTCATCAGCTCCCCGAAATATGGGAAGCACAGAGCAGGTGGTGGCTGAAGGTGGGGTATCCTGTGAAACCATATTTAAGATCAGAGCCCTTGGTCCATTGTGTTGTAATCAGCTGGCTCAGGAAAGAACACCTGGCTGTCCAGAGCTCTACACCTACTGCACTGGGTGTGACAGGAGGCCTGAGAACCCATGGGTCCCAAACCCACCCCACTCCAAATTATCATCCAGTATTGAGAACTCTGACACCAAATTCTCACAGAGCATACGTTTATGCAGTTTTACATTTAATTTCTCATTACATTACAATTGGGAAACTGAGGCCCCAGAAGAGGCAGAGACTGGTCCAGATCTCAGGAGGTGGGCAGGCTCCAGAGCATTAGAGAGGGCTCCAGCTTCCTAGGCCTTGGCACCGTCCCACTTATCAGGTTTGTTTTCGAAATTAGAGTCTGTAGCTACACATTCAGGAGCACAGAAAATGAGCAGATTCAGGGTTCTGTTCACATGGGGTCCTCTCCATGTCAGTTTCAAGATAACAGGACTGGGGTTCTGCATCCAGCTCTGAGGGCAACTGGAAGTAAAATGAGCTATGCTCCACCTCAGCCTAATGTAGACAGTGCCTACAGGAAAGCCTGTTTTCTTCCTCATAAATAGGGGTGCCTGAAGTGGGTGACCTTGATGATTTCACATACTCATAAGTGTCTGCCAGCCTGGATTCTTGCTCTGAGACTGCAAAAATGCACCCACTCTGCAGATCCTTCAAATCAGAGGGAGGCATGGCCACTTGAGAGGCATCTTGGGTAGATGAAGATGAGACAGAGTTAAATGTGCCAGAGCACTGGACTCTGAGGCTGAGGTCCACGGAAAATCTCAGCTACTGTTGCGTTCTTAAGGTCCTCATTTGAAAGTGGTAGAAAATAATTTCACTGGATAAGGGGAGGATACCTCATGAGTAAGTAGCACAACCAAAAAGGTGGAGGCAAAGAGAGGGCAAAACGGGATTCCTAGGTCACTCATTATACTTGGGGCCTTCAGATCCTGCTACTTTATCCCCTAGGACCTTGAAGAACCAGTGTCTTGAGGACAGAAAAATCAAGGTATCAGATTTGTTCAGTAGTGCTCCTGCTTGGGGCTGTAGGGTTAGTGATGGCCAGGAGGTGGTTACAGCCTACTGTGTTTCTGGTGCCCACTGAGCTTTGCTGGAGCAGCTGGAACAAGTAACAGTCACACACCTCATGTTGTTATCAGTGATGTCCACATTATCATGTGGTCAAAAGGGGAAGGGATATTAGGGATCCCCCATATAATCACTTAGCCAGTCTTTTTTCCCTTGCGCTCACCATTTGCCAGCGACCCTGGTGGGTCCAACATGTGGTACAGAAAATTATTACATGATGTCTGCACCCCCCAACCCAGGACCAAACAGTCTGAGGACCGCTGGACAAAAGCACTAAAGCAAGTATATGTGAAAGAAAAGAGCAAGGACTATAATATAAAGTAGATTATTGAGAAGAAAACCTGGAAAATTATTGCATGGGAGGACCTCAGGCGTCACTGAGGTGACTTTTAATCCATGATGAGGATGACAGCAGGGAGGCATCTGCACAAGCATGTGTCAGGGAGAAGCCACCCTTAGTGAAAAAACTCATAGGTGTGAGTTTGGCAGAGGTAAAAAGGGACTAATTTGGCTGCAGACAGCCTGAGAAAGAGATAAGCAGAGGGATGGAGAATCCTAGGGCCTGGGAGATGAGGTTAGATATCTGCTCCTTTCTGACAACATTGCCCTAAAAGTCAGCACTTTTCAACAACATATAATATCTCATAATGTGTGTGGACCAGAATCTGGACACAGTTCAGCTGGCTACCTCTGCCTTCAGGTCTTTTATGAGACTGAGGGCTGTGGTCTTAACTGAAGCTGGACTGGGAAAGCATGAGCCTTTAAGCTGACTCATGTGAAAATTGACAGGGTTTAGTGTGGACAGAGAGCCTGACTTTCCTTCTCTCTACTCGTCTGAGCACCGCCTCACCCTTTGTTATGTGGGTCTCTACATGGAGCATCTCATAGCATTGGAGCTTGCTTCCTGTGTTTGAGGAATACAATAGACAGAATTAGACAAAAAGGTTTACACAAAAAGAGACAGAAAGATCAAGGGCGCAAACGAGAAAAACCCAGTAGGAGAAAAATTAGAGCTTTAAAAACATCTTGACAGGGTGCGGTGGCTCACACCTGTAATCCCAGCACTTTGGGATGCTGAGACGTGTGGATCGCCTGAGGTCAAGGGTTTGAAACCAACCTGGACAACATGGTGAAACCACCGTCTCTTCTAAAAATACAAAATGAGCCAGATGTGGTGGCGCATGCCTGTAATCCCAGCTACTTGGGAGACTGAGGCAGGAGAATCAATTGAACCTGGGAGGCGAAGGTTCCAGTAAGCCGAGATCACACCACTGCACTCCAGCCTGGGATACAAGAGTGAAACTGTGTCTCAAAAAAAAAAAAAAAAAAAGAAAGAAAGAAAGAAAGAAAAAAAACTTGAGAGTTACTATAATTTTTCTTCTATATTTGTGTTAAAATTGTAACCCCGGGCGTAATGCTATAAGGAGGTAGAAAGTAATTAACCCCTTAGGGTGGGACCCTCATAATACAGATTACTGGCTTTATACAAGAAACCGCAGAGGGCTCTCATCCTCCTGCAAAATGAGGGTAAAACCTGAAGTGTGCAGGCTGAAATTCAGAAGCCAGTCATCACCAGATCTCAACCATGCTGACACCCTGATCTCAAATTTGAACCTCTGGAGGTATGAGAAATTAAGTCCTGTTGTCTATATGCTGCCTATCTATGGTTCTTTGGCATAGCAGCCTGAACTAATACAAAAGGGATATCCTTTTCTGTGTTTCATTGTAGAGAAGCTGAATTTGTACCCCCTATACTGTTAAAAAAAAGACTTAAAAAATGGATCTTCAGAATGAAAGATAGGAAACGGCTTGTTGAAACACTAAAATTTTAACTGCTATAAGTTTTTTAAACATTGGCTGAAATTGTTGGAACCAATATGGCCAACTGAAGTCCATGAAGCATCAGTTTGCAGACTTTGGAGCCCAAATTTCCATTGTGTGCTTCATACTAACTCTCCCTGAATTTGTATGTGACCTGTGAGGAAACAAGAAGAGATGACTGTATATGTCTCATGACTTTCCATATTCCTACTTTCCTTCCAGCAATCCCCTACAGAACCCACCTATTAGGCCTTTTCTAATCACTGCCTTAAAGCCAGTATGACAAAACAAATTTGATTTGAACTCCTATCTCCTTGTTAGCCAACATACAAGATGATATTTTCCTCAAAACCGAAGGGCCATAGTACTGGCATCAGGAAGTATTCCATTTTATTCAATAAAAAACTGAGTCACTCAATACCTAGTACTGGGAGACTTTGTGAAGACTTCCTCTGTCATAGAAGTGATAAGGCACATGGATATGATTCTAAATATAAAGAGAAAGCACTAGAAAGTTGAATTCCTGTATTAGATCATTCTCATACTGCAATGATGGAGTACCTGAGACTGGGTAACTTATAAAGTAAAGAAGTTTAATTGACTCACATTTCCACATAATTGTGGGGGCACCTCAGAAACCTTCCAATTACAGTGGCTGACAAGTGAAGTGAGTGAGAGCATGGGATGTACCAGATGCTTATGAAACTATCAGATCTCGTGAGAACTCACTATCACAAGAACAGCATGAGGAGAACCCGTCCCCATAATCCAATCATCTCCCCTCAGGTTTTCCCTTAACACCTAGGGGTTATAATACACAATGAGTTTTGGGTGGGGACGCACAGCTAAACTATATGAATGCCAGAGGACAGTATCTACATTTAATTTCAACTTCATACTGGAGCAGAATGAAAATGAGGCCCAGTGGAGAAGTGATATTTCCAAGATCACCCTGGCAGACACCAGGCCTGTTTGAGTTGTGGCCCATGCTACCTCCCACCTATTCTCCTAATGCTTCCATCTCTAAGTGTGTGCATTATCTACAGGTGACACTACATCATTATTTTTATGTCTTATCTTTTTTTTTTTTTTTTTTTTTTTGAGACGGAGTCTCGCTCTGTCGCCCAGGCCGGACTGCGGACTGCAGTGGCGCAATCTCGGCTCACGGCAAGCTCCGCTTCCCGGGTTCACGCCATTCTCCTGCCTCAGCCTCCCGAGTAGCTGGGACTACAGGCGCCCGCCACCACGCCCGGCTAATTTTTTGTATTTTTAGTAGAGACGGGGTTTCACCTTGTTAGCCAGGATGGTCTCGATCTCCTGACCTCATGATCCACCCGCCTCGGCCTCCCAAAGTGCTGGGATTACAGGCGTGAGCCACCGCGCCCGGCCACTGTCTTATCTTATATACACCTAATACATTCCCTAGGAAGTAGATGTTAGCATCATCACCACTGTGCATGTTAGGAGGCTGGGGAAGCCTTGAATACAGTGACTTTTACTGGGTCCCAGAGATGGTAAGAAAAACAAAGTTATGTTCCAGCTGTCTCTTCTCTCCTGGAACCCAGGTTGCATTTAGGTCTTTCCAGGGAATTAAGGGGAAGTTGTGTTTGCATAATTGTGTACAAATAAAGAGTTGACATGGAAGAGGAGACTGAGCAATCAGTAGCATAGTGGGGCCTTTCGGTATGTCTTACAGAAACATAGGGCCCAGTAGATGGAACCTTGAAGAGTTTAACACACTTTCTTGGTGTCAGAACCCAACAGCAGTTAAGAAACCAGGAATCCACATTCTTGAGACAGCTCTGTATCCACCTCTGTTTGTGAGAGTTGCTCAAGAGAGTGAGATGCTGTTTCATTGTGCCCTGAAATTTCTGAGTTTCAGCCTTACAAAGGCTCAATGTAAAAGTCTTATCTGATAACACAGATGTCAACTGAGCCCTCATCACTGATGTCCCTGGCTATTGGCCGGGTGCACCTACAAATAACACAGGGCAGCCCAGGACAGGCCCCTCCAAGCCATCCTCTCTTGTCAACTCATCTGGGCAGTTCCACACCACTTCTTAGTACAATGAGTTGGATGGGGAGCAAGAGGGAGGGCACTCTTCTTGGACTGAAGTAGATTGTCGGATGTTGGAACTCTTGTGTACCTGTCATGTTCATACCTAGGCCATAGCTGGCAGAATAAAAAGAAGAGGGTTGGAGAATGAGTCTGTGTACTCAGATGTGAATTCCAAGACTTTAACTTGTCCTCTGGTTTCCTTCCTTCATGGAGATTTATACAGATTCTCCTTATGTGCCTAATCTGAAGAGCAGAATTTCTTTTATTTTCTTTTTTCTTTTTTCCTTTCTTCTTTTCTCTTTTCTTTTCTTTCTTTCTCTTTCTTTCTTTCTTCTTTCTTTCTTTTTTTTCTTTCTCTTTCTTTCTTTCCATCTCTCTCTTTCTTTCTTTCTTTCCTTCTCTCTCTCTTTCTTTTTTATTTATCATGAAGTCTCACTCTGTTACCCAGGCTGGAGTGCAGAGAAAAGCAGAATTTCTAATGGAGGTGTCACATACGGTCAAAGCAAGGCAGAACACAGACTTTTCTTTGCGTGGTTTCTAGGCACATTTACAAAGCTGCATTCAGATTGATGAGGAGCTTCATCATTCAGTTTAATGTGGCCAACTCCTCCCTCTTTTTGGAAAAGAGCAGGTGCACTAAACCAGCAAACACAGCCAGCACTGGGCTGTGCTGAGAGCAGCCACATAGGGGTCTCTACAGACAGAAACCCGAGAAGACCGGGAAAGAACCAGGACCCAGACTCAAATATGAAAAATCTCTGGGCTTTGTCCTACGGCCTTCCCATGAGTAACTCATAGCCTTGTTCCAGTGGAATCTGGCCTTCACTAGTCTCAGTGGCAAGTTGGTTATGTGGAAAGTCTCTCTTCACACACTTGTGCGAATAACGATAAAGAATTTTGTATTGTTTTCACTCTACATTAGACCATGAGTATTTATGCCTGTGGCTGCAGTTTGTATTAGTTTCCGGCCCCAGGTATCTCCTGCAGCATGCAGCTTCAGTCCTATCGGACCCTCAAAACTTAAAAGCTAACACTATTACTAGGGAGGATTTCGCAGGAAAATGGTGAGAGGGTTACACACAAAAAAGGTTAAACTACTCTATGCATGTTTCTGCAATGTGTTATCTCAGGAACTCATTTCTGTAGCCCATCAGGGCAGGAGCTGGGCTCTCACCTGTTGATAATATTCCATAAGGGAGGTTCTTCCCCACAGTGTTTAGTCTTCCAACGCTGGTACAGCCTGACATGATGACATTCTACTTTCATGTCGGTCATGCTGCAGGGAAAATTCTGTGAGTGTCCTAATAGGCTGGAATAATTTGCTAGGGTGAACCCCATCTTTGGTGCTCACTTTTCTGTTATCTTGTAATTAGCTTTATTCTCAGCAAATCCATGTCTATTTTATTTATCTGTTTATTTACTTATTTTTATGTATGGAAAAACACTTTTTTTTATTTACTTATTTATTTAGAGACAGGGTCTCCGTCTGTTACCCAAGCTGGAGTACAGTGGTAGAGTGCTGTGATCATGGCTCATTGCAGCTTCAAACTCTTGGGCTCAAATGATTCTCTCACCTCAGCCTCCTGTGCCACCATGCCCTGCTAGTTGATTTTAATTTTTTATAAAGAAGGAGACTCATTAGGCAGCCCAGGCTGGTCTCAAACTCCTGGGCCCAAGCAATTCTCTCATCTCAGCCTCCCAAAGCACTGGGATTAAAAACATGAGCCACTGTACTGAGCTGTGCCTACTTCAAAAGACTGAAAATAAAAAATCAATAAATCTTTGCCAAATTAAAAAACAAAACAATAGTTTCCAGGTCTTAGACAAAGACAATTCTGTGTCATGAAGGTGGCAAAAGGCTTATTTAGCTGTTAAAATGATTTGCTTATATTTCAAAGAAGCAGAGAAAAAAAGATACATATAAAAGTTTTCCAGGCCAGGCACGGCTGTTCATGCCTGTAATCCCAACATTTGGGGAGGCCAAGGCAGGAGGATATCTTGAAGCCAAATGTTTGAGTCCAGTACAGGCAACATGGTGAAATTCTGTCACCATAAAAAAATAAATAAAATAAATATGGCTGGGCATGGTGGTTCACGCTTGTAATACCAGCACTTTGGGAGTCGGAGGCAGGTGGATAATGAGGTCAGGGGTTCGAGACCAGCCTGGCCAAAATGGTGAAACCCTTTCTCTCCTAAAAATAATAACAATAAAAAATCAGCCAGGCATGGTGCTGTGCGCCTGTAATGCCAGCTACTCAAAAGGTTGAAGCAAGAGAATTGCTTGAACCTGGGAGGTGGAGGTTGCATTGAGCTAAGATCATGCCACTACACTCTAGCCTGACCCACAGAGCAAGACACTGTCTTGAATAAATAAATAAATAAATAAATAAATAAATAAATAAATAAAGTTAGCCAGGCCTGGAGGTGCATGCCTATAGTCCTAGGTAATTAAGAGGTTGAGGCAGGAGGACTGCTCAAACCCAAGAAGTTAAGGTTATAGTGAGCTATGATTATGCCATTGCACTTCAGACTAAGCAAAAGAGTAAGATTCCATCTCAAAAAATTACTAAAAAAAGTTCTCTAAATTACATTGTTTAAGAAAAGGGAAAAGAAAAAATATCTTTTTTAATTTTCAAATGGGAGGATAGAGCCTCTCATTTCTAATATGTATTTCCTTCTGCAAAAACATGGCCTAGGCCCATGGTCTTGAACTACTGGACATCTGAATTTTAGTAGGTGCTGGATTCAGGCAACTGAGGGGTGGCTTGGACACACTAAGTGCACGTAAATAAAAGGTTTGAGGTGAACTAAAAGGTAAAAGAGGGGAAGGTGCTATTAAGAACCCACAATTGGGAGACATTACAGGGTTGGTGGAAGGACTGGTTCATGCTACAGATACTGACCCAGGTGAAACTTTACTCTGACTTATTTCTGTGTCCATGCAGGAAGACGAGATTATGATCAGGTGGCACAGAAACCTGGGATGGTGAAAAAACCAGGTTGCCCCTGCAGATTCGGTGTCTGAGGTAGAGCATATGCCAGGGGTCTTGTAGGCACGTGTGTGGGTTTTTGGTGGGAAAGTCTATGAGGATAGGTAGCATGGGCCACAATCTTTATGCCGAAGCCCTGTGCTGGGAGGGGCTTGACCACGTCAACATGCAGTGTGTATGTTCAGTGGGTGAAAAACATGTGGTGGCCTCAGGTTGGCAGGAGGGTAGAAGGCATCTGTTCTCAGAACTTCTTCCCTCAGAGTCGTCGGTCCTTCTTACCATGGGAGGATGCCTGGAACCACAGGGCAGTGCATGGTGTAGCAGCCTGTGTGCAGAGCAGAGCCTACCTTCCCCGAGACACCTGGAGTCTCTCTCCAGCAGAGGCCCCCACATTGTCTTTCTTTTTATGTTTTTGATCCTAAATGTGGAAAGTTCCCTGAAAACCCACTGATTCTCCAACACCCATTTGTTGCCTCAAAATTTAATTCTGACACAACTTAGAGTTCGCACAGACCCCACAAATTCAGGGCTCAGTCCCACATCACCTCTCTCACTGTAGAGGAGAGTTACACATCCCTGAAGCCCATCTACACTTCTGAGCTACCTCCTATAAATCTGAGACTAGCATAAACCCCTTTTCAAGTTAAATAATTTGATAGAATTACTAAAAAGAAAACCTCAACAAATAACTGTAATTATATTTACTACTTTATTATAAAAATATAACTCAGAAACAGCCAAATGGAAGAGATGTCTAGGGCAAGGAACAGTTGTGGGTGAAGGTAATCCTGGAAATAGCTATATTTAAAGAAATTCCCCCATTCTTTGCATTCTCAAAGAACAGCTTAGTGAAGAGAAATGTGCTTCCCGTGATGACTTTGAGGATGCTCCCTGCTGTTTTTTTAACCTATCACAAAAATGGACACAGGTTGCAAATTCCCATTTTTAAAAATCAACAACCATTCAGTAATTTAGTCTTCAGTGGTCAAAATAACATACTCTTTACAGAAACTTTGCTTGTTTCTCTTCTTCCAAACAGCCCCTGAACTTTGACTCACCCACAGCTTCAGCAAACCTACAACCCTTATTTATACATAACCCTCCTAAGAACAGGCTGAGTTCAAGGTGAAACATTATCTTATCTGGGATCTCATTTTGCTACCCTCCATCCTGTGCTTCCTTTCCAACCTTCTTTGTAAACTTGTTTTCTCCTCCCTATGAAATAAGGCACTTTTCCACCTAACCTTAGAGATACTCAAAGATCTAATCATTTGTACTTTTTCTTTGTTGCAATACTTCTTAGGTAACTTCTTAGACCAAGTCTAGAAACAGTCTGAGGACAATAACAATTCCATTCTAAAAAGAATCTCCCAACATTTCTTCTATCTCTACCTCAACTGCATCTGCCTGTGAACTTCCAGCTTACCAAGGCTCTATATCTTCTGGCAGTGACAAAGGCTCCTTCCATGATTGGTGTGAGTAGGCTTGGACACCTGCAGGGCAGACACCCAGGAATAATCAACTGAGCCTTCAGTGGTCCTCTTTTGCTGGGTCAAGGTGGGCCTTAGCTTTTAGTTGATGGTCTAAGACTTCTACTTACCAGTTAGTCATTCAGTTAGTTTCCAATTCAAAAAATACTTCATGTTTGAAGAATCCAGCAAAAATTATTCAAATCTAAGGTATAAAAGAGAGGAAATTACAGCCGGGCATTGTGACTCATGCCTGTAATCCCTGCATTTTGGGAGGCCTAGGTGGGCAGATGACCTGAGATCAGGAGTTTGAGACCAGCCTGACCAACATGAAGAAACCCCGTCTCTACTAAAAATACAAAATTATCCAGGTGTGGTGTTGTATGCCTGTAATCCTAGCTACTCAGGAGGCCGAGGCAGGAGAATCGCTTGAACCCAGGAGGTGGAGGTTACAGTGAGCAGATGTCTTGCCATTGCACTCCAGTCTGGGCAACAAGAGTGAAACTACATCTAAAAAATAACAGAATAAAATAAAATAAAAACATTATAAGGGGCTTATATCTTATAATTCATCAAGAAAAGCCAAAGTATCTATCTCTTTCAGAAAATAAACATGTAATTTAATTATGTTCATAACAAATCATTTAGTAAACAATCATATGTGAACACTTCCAGGCGGTGCCAAGTCCCAGCTCCTAAAACTTAGTGTTACCCTCAAACACCCAGATGACAGCATATGAAACAGAGATATTCACTATCAGAAGTTCTCTGTTTTGAAAAAAGAATAACTGATGTGATAAATTTATGTAATTTAACAATTAATCTACCTCACGTGCTTGTAGGTATGTATTCATTTCCTACCACGGTAGTGGAAGAGAGACTATCCCTATCTATACACCTGGTAACATTCCCAACAGTAAGCCGTGAGATTCTGCTTGAAATCACCTCTCAGACAAATAAAAAACAGTCCTGGGAAATGTACAACACTCATTCTGCTAAAGAAATAGGCAAGTAACAATTTTTAACAAGTGAAATATATTACTACTTAATTTTATTCAAAATTCACCAACTTAATGTGCTTTATAAATATTCTCATACCTTTGAAGCTCTACTGATAAAACATAATTTACAGTTAATGAAAAAGTGAAGTTAAAATAAATACAATCATATTTTCAAGGTGACAAAATTAGAAGGTGACAATGCTGATTGAAACACAGACATATCTGACCCAAGGGTCAAGTCAAGCCGTTCTATTACTTGGGATATTTTCCCTGCTCCTATCTGGTTCAGTGATGTGGGTCATGAGCGTCCTACCAGGAGCTGCTACGCTCTGCTCCACTGTGTCTGTAAGGTGCATTTTACTTTGCAGGTTTTTGCACTGCCTCACTAGGTTGGGTTTCTTTATCCTTTGAAATATTTTCTCTCCCTTCACCAATCTGAGGACATTTTTTCCTCAATATCAGCATCCAGTTGCCTGGCCTGCAATGTGTCTCTAAGGAATGGAAACTAAGCGTTGGGGTAAGAAATTCTTAATGTCCTAAGGGGTTTGCTTTTAACGCAAAGGTATACGTGGAGATTCCTTCCAGGTATAGTGCATCCAACCACTCCAAAAAGAGGCTGCATTCCCATACCTTGGGCTGTTCCCTGAGAGGAGATGACACAAGGGATGCTATTTACTAGACACTTCAAGAGTCATGGCCAGTGTTGGTATCTTGGGGATTCTCAAGCAGTTTTGAAACCCAAAACCAAGAAAATAACACAGGATGGCTGAGGATGTATTGCCCTGTGAGGTTTCTGAAATGAAACCTCAACCCAAAGACATTCTGATGGGGTGTCTGTGCCAAGGCAAGATTAAAGAAAGGGGCACAAATATTTTCTTTTCTTTTCTTTTCTTTTTTTTTTACTGTGGATTGTCAGGGGATTATTATCTGCTTTCATGTCCTGTAAAATGTTTACAAATGAAAAATATTTTTTTAAGTGCCATCCACTGCTTTTTGAAAAAATGCAGAATTAAAATACTGTGTCTAAAATGTACAATAAAGAACAGTTGATAATGTTGTGAGTTACACAAGGTTAGTTAGTGTTGGTAAGTGTCAGGAAAGAACTGGAAATTTAAACTCTGACTGCAAGCAAGAGTTAGGCTGGGGTAACAGGGTGGTAGATTTGAGGCTCTTCTTGCCACACATTTGGAAAATGCATGAGAAAACGAATTCTTTTTTGGAGCATTAAAACAACTAAAAAACAGGCGATTGCATTGAGGTGGCTCTAGTGTACTGACCTCTGAGTGGAGAGACAGGCAAAGGCATCCCTAGATCCAAAAAGCTGTCCATTCTTCTCCAGCTGTGCACCTGATTAGATAATTTCCACTCCAGCACCCGTGACTGGATATAGTTCAATTCCCCACCAAGCCCCCTCAGGCCATGAGTGACATATGTGATTTGACACTGGATTGAATAAAGCAAGAATTATAGGTTTTTCCTGGATCCTTTTCTGGCAGGGCTTCCTTCATGCACTGGACACTGGCCCTGCCTGTAAAATACTTGCATTTTCATTTGTGTGTAAGATTATTTGTATTTATGAAAAATATATATGTGTTATTCATACATGGAAGCAATATAATGACAATTATTTTAAAATTTCAGATTTTTTACTTTCCTGGCACATCCAGGTTTTAGAGCAGGCAGCCTGAGATTTCAAAAATGAGGCAATTCTCTAAGAAATAATATGTGAGGCACATGTGAATTTTAAATATTCTAGTAGCTACATTTTAATAAATACACCAGGCATGGTTGCCTGTGCCTGTAGGTTGAAATGTTTGGGAGACTGATGTGGGAGGATCATTTGAGGCAAGGAGTTTGAGACTAGCCCATGCAGCATAGAAAAAGCCATCTCAACAACAACAACAACAACAAAAAATTGAAAAATTAGCCATGCCTGGTGTATGCCTTCAGTCCCAGCTACTCAGAAGGCTGGAGCTGGAGGATCACCTGAGCCTGGGAGGTCAAGGCTGCAGTGAGCCATGATCACACCACTGCACTCCAGCCTCACTGACAGAACAAAACTCTGACTCAAAAAACTGATCTCTGGAAAGGCATTTTCTTTTTCTGCAACGTAGCCAAATAGCTAAATTTGTATTGAAGCCATCCTTTAATTTTTAACAGGGCAAGAATATTTTCTAAGACCCTGAACTCCAGATATGTGATGGGGCAAATCCTGAAGCGTACATGGCTATCTCTCACAGCTAAAGCATCCCTCACCCCTATCCAGCGCTTCTTACCCCTGGCGCAAGAGAATCACCTGCGGGGAGGAAAACTTTCAAAATCCCTTAAACCCAAGTTGTAACCGCTCAATTAAATCAGAATCCTTGGAGCTGGATCTGAAAAAAATATGGTTGAAAGTCGTGCAGGTGATTACAATGTGTAGGCGAGCCAGAAAACCATGGCTTTAACGAGCAGCTTTTGTTAGAAATGATTTCTCAAATGAATGTAAAAACGTTTGCTGCTGAATTGTGACCTTTCAATTTTACCTGCTTTTCCTGCAAAGTATATTTTGCAGACCCAGGCTGGCTTCTCCTTCTGTTCCTGGTTCACCCAGTGCCGTGTGTGCTCAGTGCATCCTGTGCACGGGTCACTGTGCTGTGTGCGCTGGCCTGGGTGAGCATCATTCTTCGGGGAGAACCTTTCTGAAAACAAAGCTGCAATCCAAAAAGTTAAAACCATGCTACTTACTGTACTGAGGTAAAAATTAAAAGACCTAGGGGACTCTTCCAAAAGTTAAAACGTAAATAAATATCTTGGAACATTAATATACACCTGACGATGTCCTGAGTGAACACGCCCCACTTTAAAACAAAACAAAACATTACTATTATTCTAAAATATTAATTTAGGATTGTTATGCAAATATGTACTATTTAAATATTTATTGATGAATAACTTGCATACAGCAATATAGGAACAAAATATTTATGGAATGCTTGATGAATTATTACTAAATAAATACACTTGTGTATGTAAGAATCAGATTTGCTCATGCTCTTGACACTTTCTCCTTCCCAAAGGTAACCAAGACCTTAAGAGCTAAGTGTAGATAAACTTTGTCATTTTCTACACGTGTTTTATTACAGAACATTAAAAACGTATACATAATACAAAAAAAGGATAACAGACCAGTCACCCAGATTTAACAGCTACTAGTCATGTGTCATTTTTGTTTCACCTATACTTCCAGCCATTCCCACCCCAATTTCATTATTTTTTAGCCTTTTTGGATAAAATGTATATTCATTGCAAGGTACAATGTGAACTGTGAATAGTAGAGAGATGGGGTTTCACCAAGTTGACCATGCTAGTCTTGAACTCCTGTCCTCAGGTGATCCACCTGCTTCGGCTTCCCAAATTGCTGGGATTACAGGCATAAGCCAATATACTCAGCCTGAGAATTCATACTTCTAAGAAAGTACAAATCCATAGGGCACATGAGAACTGCAATGTCTATCTACAGTAAATACAGTTTGATAAATAAAATGAAAGGCAATTGACCTAAGGTGAAAAAAAAAACAAAAAACAATCAAAGCATGGGTACTATGTGTCATCTGTAAGAGCATTTGGTTAAGAATAACAAACAAACCAGTTTTATCGTTTTAATAGCCGAAATTGGCAAAATTTCTAGTTTTTCTTTCATAGGAATGCTCTTTGCAAGAAAAAATTTTCATATAGTGAGAGCAAAAATGGCAACCATTTGCAAGTAAATGTCTTATGAAATTAAGTAGCAGATATCAAGCTCATGACCTTCAGATAGTTACCCCTAACTCAATCACTTACATAGCAAGTGCAGATAATTTTCATAGCTCCCTATTAAAATTATATTTGAATGCCCTTACAAATTGTGACTGTTTTTAAATAAAGTTGACCAACTAAAATTTTGTATATGACATATGATAAATTCCCCTTCAAGTCACCTTACATTTACTTAATTTTATTAGGCAGTGTCTGTCTACCACCCAATAATACTTGACGATTCTCCCTCCATTTGCACAGGCATCATAGCTGGGAAACGGATTCACAAGACCCAGGCTGTTCCCTACATATGTTTCCTCCTCCGACATCAGTTCATCAGTCAATCAAGCCATGTGAGAGTGGAGGCCTTGTATTCCCTATTATTCTTGGGCACTCTACTCCAAGTAGGAAAAGGCCAGGAGGTCCTGTTAAAGGATGCACTCAGAGCCCGGGCTCCCTAACATATGAGAGTGCTAACCAGCAGGTGTAGACTTTTCAGGAGTGAAGAATGAGGCAGGCATTCCAAACCTGGACCTTCATCACCTTTTGTTTCATCTCAAGACAATTCTGAGGGACTGTTTTGGAGCGTGTCTGGAAGGTGAACCTTGAAGAAGAGTGTGGGCTTTGATGTGACTCAGTTGAGATCTTTCATGGGGAGGCAGGAATTCAATGCCCAGAATCTGGGCTGGTGTCTTTGAGGTCAGTAGGTTGCGTCTTTGTATCCAAGTCCATTGTTACTAGGTTGGAGGCTGGAGATTCTAAATGGCTTCCAGACCATCTCTCTGATTCTCTTTGGGAGATGGGGTCTGAAAGACAATATCAGTAGTTTTGGGAAATTCTAGAAAGTGTGCTTGGAAACGTGGGAAGAGCTCTTGCCTAGTGCCTAAATGCTCCATTTGCAGCTCTAGCCAAGTAGATACTTGGTAGGTATAGAGCCGGGTTTGCGTTTATATCAGCAAAACCTATGTCAGAGTTGAAGAAGTAGTCAGGAAAAAGCGTCTTGGTCGCAGGCCGGGGAACATCTTAAAAGCAAACTTCTAGCCTGCTGACTCTTGGCAATGAGTGTTGGATCCTGGCTAAAGTGCCTTGAATGCAGCATGAGGCCAATCCATGAATCCAACTTCTCATGGAGAAATGTTAATATTTTTTCAGTTTGAATTAATCAGGGTGAAACTACCATGCTATTGGTTTGCTTACTTTTTATTATTTCATGTAAAATCTAAGACAAAATACATTAAATGCTTATTGACATATGTATTTATTCTTCACCAGGCTGATAATATCTGCCTAATTTTAAACTTTCTTCCATTTTGTAGGTTTCAACTTATTCTATTGTAAGATACTGTTAAATCTAATAGAGGCATTGTCACTTTTACGTATAATTTTATTTTATTTCATATATTTCCTATTGGCTTTTTACATTTAAATTATGGAGCACTTCATCATATAAAAAACTTCAATTATATTTAAACAGTAAGTCTTTGGATTTTTTTGCCTTGTAATTTCCATATTACATAATAATGAGATAAACATTAATGTTTTCAGGGTACTTTAAATTTTAAATAATTACTCATTGTATTCATGTGAAATTTGTTTTTACTGCATGTGTGGGTTGGAGGACTGTTTTCACTTCTGATTCATCTTTAATCTTATCTCATCAGAGCTCATACCTCTTGTAGTTGGGGGATTGCAGTTTATAATTCCAATAAATGGGGCAAATTCAATAATAACATAATACAAATGAGTTTGAATGCAGGACAGGTCTTCAAAGCATACACAACATGGGCCTACATATGTACAACAATAATAATTTATAAGTTACTGTTTGGATGGAAAGTAAAAGTACAGAAAATTTGTTAAAGGAAATTAAAATGGAGATCATGTCTCAATAATCTCTGAGCAGACAAAATTAGTTAGGTCTCATAAGTGATCTCAACCTCGCTTGATTTGCAAATACAAACAAAACTTACATTATTTCTTGTAGCTGCATATTGAAAAAAGAGAAATGAAGCTCAACCAGTCAGAAGTAGCCAACAACCTTATATAAATAGAAACTGTCCAACAAGGTAAACAGACAAACAAAAACCAATAAAAAAAGTTGTGCTACCACCAAATGATTTCTTTGTTTCTACATTTTTCAAATAAATACTTGCTTCTTACACTGTCAATGAAGCACTCAATATCTTTCCGTCTGATATTTTATAATTTATCAATTGCTCTTACTCAAATAAACACTTTGCAATTTCATTGTGTCTCAAATTACTTTTTAGCAGAATAAACTAGGAATAAATATTACAAAAATATCTACGGAATATGGAAAAAACATAGAAAGTTTATGAAATATATGAATGTAGACATAAGCAAATAGACAATTTGTATCATATTCTTAGGCAGAAAAACTCAATATTATCAATATCAATTGTCCTTATAGTTATTTATAAATTCAATTTTGTTCCTATACTGATACCATTAAATATTGCAAGTACACGTTACTATAAAATGTTATATAGATGAAAACACAAACAAGAATAGACAAGAAAACTCTGAAAAAAAAAAAAAAACCCACTGGCAAGCCCTGTGTAAAATCTTGATTGATTAAAAAACTCATGGATCACTGAAACTAAAAATTCAGAAATAAACCAAAGTGTCTAAGAAAGTGTCATAGTGCATCTTGGCTGCTATAACAAAATACCTTAGACTGGGTAAAGGATAAATAAGAGAAATGTATTTTTCACAGTTATGGAGTCTGGAAAGTGCAAGATCAAGGCAGCAGCAAATTTCGTATATGGTGAGAGCCCTATTCCCCATAGATGGTACCATCTCGCACATGGGACAAGGGCATTCCCTTCAACTTCCTTTGAAAGAGCACTGATTCCATTCATGAAGATGAAGAACTCTTGGCTTCACCACTTTCCCAAAGGCCTGACGCCTAAAATTATACACATGAATTTGAAAGGGGACATAAACATTCAGGCCATAGCAATAAAAACTACATGGGTGATGGCATCATTTATACATGAGGTGTAAAAATGTGATGTTCTTATCACAAAGGAAATAAATGATTTATTCTTCATGCCATATATCAAAATGAAGGTCCAATGAAAATATCTTTTATGAAGATAAATCTATATGGCAAAAAATTAAGTATTGATAAGTTTAACCCTACAGGTTGCATCAGGATTTTCAAGGTTTCCAGGGATGAGCAAGGCCCTGGAGTTTCCTCCTGTGACATTTTCCTGGAAGTTGCTCATGCTGTTATTCAATTTGAAAGTAGATAATATTGTTTGTTTCTCTTCCAATATTTACTAAATTCAAAATAATATAGGGCTCTTTACTCATAATTCTCAAACAATCATTCAGTCAGTGGGGCTCTGCTGAGGAAGAGCACAGACACATCCACACAAGTATAATGTTCCTCAAATAGAGGACTTCTCCTTGTGCTGGAGCCACCTATGTTGCACTCGATCAGAGGCTTTCCCAGGATAGCATTTCTCTGCAGCCCTACCTCAGTCTTAACCCTGAAAATCCCACTCAGAAGGCGACGGATGAACACCCACCCTAGCATTCTAATCTAATGGATCCTCTCTTAACAATCCCTTCCAGGGATCTGGGATCTTTCCTGGATTCGTCGGCCACACACACCTAGGCTCAAAAATTTGGACAGAAACTTTGATCCTCATTGGCCCTCCTGCCCTGTCCTACCAGCTTCTCTAGAAGTATGCTTCTCTAATTGCTCCTTAGAGACACTATCTAAGGGTATCAACCTGTGCCAATATAATTGATCTCATAAAGTGAGAAGGGAAATAGGCAAGAGTCCAGCTAGCCTAGAAGCAGTGTCTAGGGTTCCTTACCTGATTTATGTCTCTGATTTACCTAAATATTGACAAATACAGATTCACCTCTAGGCAGTAGAAAAACAGAAGGAGAAATCCCAGTTCGTAGAGGAAGAAGAAAATGCAATCAATGCTGTCTAGAGTCCCGCTTAAGCTCAGCCACAGGGTACTAAGTCTCTTCAGGAAAAAGCAATGGTTGTCCATCATCTGAAAAACTGTGGCCTGGAACCATGGGCACCGAGAGTGCACACTGCCCACTAGAGTTCCATGCCTACATCACGGAGAGATAGAATAGTCTCAAAGGATTCTTAAGAGTAATGTGGGGACCAAAAGGAGATGAATCCACAGTCTCTGCCTTACCGTCTGATCTAACTAATAGTATTTCCAGACCTTTCTGTGGGCTGCACCAGGGGTTGTTCAGAAAGAAAAAAAGTTGTTAATGTCCCACCGTTTCCCGTAGCTTCCGAGGTCTGTGTTGTTCATACCCCAGGTTCCAGGTTGTTCTCCCACTACTTCCACAGAATCAGTGTGTCTCATTCCGGTACCTATAATCTCATCTTTATTCTAGTCACCCTCTACTTTTTTCTAGACACTTTATCTAGTAGAGCCAGGTAAAATAGAGACAAGAATATTTACATAAAACTTAGCTGGAACTAAGTTGGAGTCCCATAACTGCTACTAGGCTGAGATGCAACTCAGAGGATACAAAAGCCAGGCTTGCCTAGAATTGCAGTTATGGGAAAGAAAGTCACATTTCACCCAGGAATTATTAGCACGAAATTCCAAGTTTGTGAAATAGATTCCTAGATGATTCCTAGATCCCCCAAACATTTCATCCTTATCTTGGAGGCAATCAGGAAGAGAAAATAAACCATACCTAATCAACAAATTATCTAACCAGCATGTGTGGAAAAGGAGGGAACATCATAGAGTTGGCTTGTTTTAGTACGTGTGGTGAAAAATGCCGCGAAGTCAGAGCTCAATTGGTCTCAAAAGCCTAAAAGATGGCACAGATTAGCTTCACGGGACACATGGTATGGATGGTGTCAGCATACTGTTATGCTGAAGATGTCAAGAGTGGTGACTGATATCTCAAGAAGTGGGCCAAAAGTCCACTTCTGGTTACTCTGCTTGGTATGGTCTAGGAGTTCTTCAACCATGAGACAAATAGGTCAACTTTCACCAGCAACCCCAAGTCTGGTTTGCAGTATTAGACTCTGCGTTAGACACAGATTTAGGTTCAATCTGCAGCTTGATTGTTGTCACTCTCTAGAAAACAAACTCTTACCATGGACTTCTAGATGAGTGATCCAGTTAGATCAGCATCTGAGATTGTCTCCAGTTTGCAGCCCAAAAGACATTCAGACAGTCTACAGTTTCCATTGTAGATAACCAAACAGATAGAATATGTGCCATTATCCCAAACCCTGAGTTCTGACGTTTGAGAGGAGCAACTCTCATGTCAGGTTCTGTATGGCTGGCACAGGTTAAACAGCCACAGCGGCCCAGTGGACATCATGAGGTTTCACCTTCCCTGACTCATCTATGAACCAGGACCAGTCATATAGGAAACACTCAGTAAATTGGGGGCCCCACAGAGACAGCATCTTTGCTTCAGAGGATAGAAGGAGGCATAAAATTTCAACCAGCTGGGGATGCTCTAGCCCTCTATGGGTGAAACTGAGTTTGTCAGGAGTTCTGCAGCAAGCTCTTAGCTGACTTTCAAATCAGTGTAACCAGTAGTGTGTCACTGAGTCCAAAAGCCCAAAGAACACCTCTGGGAAGAGGCTAGTCCTTTACTAGAGGCTCCAAATGCCAAAATCAAGATTTTCTTGACCTCAGGATGAATTGATCAATGCAAATCTCCCCAAATATTTTCACTAAACCTTAATTGGAAAGTAAGACTCCAGATTTTTTAACTCTCACTAAACCTAAATATCTGATTTTTTCACCTGAGATCTATGTATGTGTGTTGGAGCATGCCTTTACCAATCAGCATAAAGTTACATCTGTCATTGCGCCTCTACTTTCTACTTGTGCAGAGTTTAAAATGCAGAGGTGAGAGCTTAGGGTTTTCTGGGTCTTTTGCTAAGCATGTACCTGACCTTGAGCATCCCCAATTCCCCATTTCCTTCTTGATCCCAAAGACCGTTATCACAGTCTTAATTCCCAGCACCTTTTCCTCCTAGAGCTTTTTGACATGATTATTCTTAGACCCAACTGATATCCTTCGTTCCTGGTAGACTGCGTAGCTCATTTCCATTTAAATGCTTTTAGAAATATTAAACTATGGATTTAAGATTTATCTGCTTTTTAAATTAAGTAATGCTGCTCTTAGCCTTCCACAGGACTTGAGGGTTATAAAAAAAAAGGAAGAAAATAATTATTTTATACCAATAGTATGAAAAAGAGACTGGGAATGACTATATTAATAGCAGACAAAATAGACTTAAAAACTTAAAAGAGACAATAAGACATTATATAGTCATAGATTGTCCATTTGGCAGGAAGATAGAAATAGTTTAAACCCATACCTAATAATAAAACATTGAGATATAGAAAGCATAACTTGACAGAATTAAAGGGGCAAAAAGGCAGTTCTAAAATAATAGTTGAAGATGTTAATACTCCACTCTGAGTAATGAATAGAAAAATGAGATAGATGATAAATTAGGAAATAGAGTTCTTGAATAACTCAATGAACCAAATTGATCTAACAGATATATACAATATACTCCATCCAACAAAAGAGACTACACACTCTTCTCAAATGCACATGGGGATTTCCCCACGATGGGCTGTGTAGTAGATCTCAAATTAAATCAATAACAGAAGAAACGTTAGAAAGTTTACAAAACTGTATAAATTAAACAACATACCCTTAAACAACAAATAAGTAAAGGAAGAAATCACAGAGGAAGTTGGAACATACTTACAGAGGAAGAAAAATGAAAACAAAACACATCAAAAGTTAAGAGAAACAGCAAAAAGAGTGCTAAGATGTAAAGTTTGCAGCTAAAATACATTTAAAAAGAACAAAGATTTCAAATAAATAATAACTTTATCACCTAGTAAATTAGAAAAATAACACCAAATTAGATGCAAAGCAAAGAGAAAGAAGAAAATATTAAAGCTTTTAGCAGAGATAAATGCAATGGAGATTATACAAACCACAGAATTCCAAAAAACCAAAAGTTCATTCTCACTTCTTCAAAAAATTAACAATTGGCAAACTTTCAGCTACACACACAAAAAATTAACAGCATATTCACATACTAAAATGAGAAATGAAAGTGGGACATTACTACTAATTCAAAGAATTAAAATGTTTAAAAAACTGTACTGTGAACTATGATAGGATGATAAATTGGAAAACGTAGATAAAGTGGGCAGATTCCTAGGTATACAAGACTTGATTACAAAGAAATACAAAATCTGAATAGATACAAAACTACAAAGGAAATGGAATCAGTAATTAAAAGCCTCCTCATAAAGAAAAGCCCTTATTTTGTTGGCTTCACTAGTGATTTAGATCAAGCATTTATAGAACAAAAATCCTTTCCAAAGTCTACCAAAAGCCTGAAGAGAGCAGTTCCAAACTTATTCCATGAAGCCACCATTAGCTCATACCGAAGCCAGACAAAGATACTACAAAAACCCATAGACTAATATCCCTTATGAACACGGATGCAAAACTAGTCAGCAACATCCTAGCTAACTACATTCAGCAGCATACTAGCAAGATTACAACCCATGACCAAGGGGAGTTTATTATTGGAATGAAAGGAAGTTTTAGCATATGGGTGGTTTCAGTGCAGTGGTGTTTACAAATAATTGATCACAACCAGTATAGATTTCTTTATTCTTTTTCCAGTCTCACTGGTTCACTTAGCTAGCCTTTCTTAACAAAAGTTTAAGCATATGAAAATTAATCAATGCATATGCCACATTGACAAAATTTTTAAAAAGTATTCTCTCATTAATACAGATAACGTATTTTACAAAATTCAAAATATTTTATAATAAAAACAATAAATTAGGAATAAAAGGAAACTAGCTTTGTAAAATTCACATATAAAAACCCACAGCAAACAACATATTCCAGAGGAAAAGATCAAAAGTGTTTCCTCTAAGCTCCGAAGACAGAGTGAATATCTGCTCTTGCCAGCCACTTTTATTCAACACTGTATTAGAAGTTTCATTCAGAGAAATTAAAAAAGACAATGAAATAAACTGCATCAAAGTGTGTACAGAAAATATATTCTTATATGTAGAAAATCTTTAAGATTCCACACAAAAAATATTACAACTAATAAATTCAGCTGAATAGTAGCATACAAAATCAACATACAAAAACAAACTGCATTTTATGTAGTAACATGAATAATCTGAGAAGAAAACTCTGAAAACAATTCAATTTACAATAGTATCAAAAGAATAAAGTAGTTAGGAAGTAACGAAGAAGTAAAATGCCAATTACTCTTGTGTAGATATTAAAAAATCAATTTTTAAGTTTATGGGGAATCTCAAAGATCTTTAAATTGCAAAAATAATTTTGAAAAAAATACCAAAGTTAGACAAGTCACACTTAATGATTTCAAGACTTACTACAAAATTCCAAAATAGCATGCTACAAAGAGACTAATGGAGTAATATAGAAGGCCCATATAAATAAACCCTCATATATAAGGTCAAATGATTTTTATGGGAAATGAACTGCCTTTACAACAATTAGTGCTGGGGAAATTGGGTGCCCACATGTAAAAGAGTGAAGCTGGGCCCTTAACTTCTACTATAAGAAAAAATTAACTAACTGGATCAAAGACCTAAATGTAAGAGCTAAAACTACAAAATTCTTAGTATAAAATGTAGGTAAAACACGTCATAAGGCTGGATTTGGCAGTGATTTCTTTTAACAGGACACCAAAAACGCAAGAAACAAAAGAAAAATAGATAAAGAGGACTCTATCCAGAATATACAAAGAACAATTCAGCAATAATAAACTACTTGTTTAAAATATGGGCAAAATACTTAAACAGATATTTCTCTAAAAATTATGTGAAGTGGCTTATAAGCCCATGAAAAGGTACTCAACAAAACCTTTTCATTTTCATTAGTAAAATGAAAATCTAACCCCAAATGACATATCACTTAATGCACATCAGCATAACTAGTACAAAAAGAAAAAAAAACAGAAAATCACAAGTGTTGGTGAGGAAGTGGAGCAGTTAGAACCCTTGTACACTTGGTGGAAATGTAAAATGCTGCAGCTGCTATAAAACAACACCATAGTAACGAAATAATTTACACTCAAAATCACCGTATGATCCAGCAATTTCACATCTTGGTATGTTGCAAAAGATGTGAAAGCGAAGACACAAAATAATACACGTACACCTAAGCTCATAGCAGCATGACTCACATCACTCAAAAGGTTTTTGAATTACCTGTGTTGTTTGAATTATCATCAATGAATAAATAGATAAAATGTGATTTATACATACAGTGGGATATTATTCAGTTATGAAAAATAAGGAAATTCTGACACATGGTACGTCATGCATGAACCTTAAGGACATTGTGCAAAGTGACATGAGCCAGTCATAAAAGGACAAATACTGTATCATTCCACTTATGAGATACTTAGAGTAGTTAAATTCTGGAAACCCACGTAGAAGAGTGGTTCCTAGGAGCTGGAGGGGGAGTAACAGGGAGCTGTTATTTAATGTGTATTGAATTTTGGTTTGGAAGTTGAAAAAAGATCCTTATGAATGGGAATAATAGTTGCAAAACAATGTGAGTGTAGTTAATTTCTCTGAGCTGAACACTTAAAATAGTTAAGATGGTTAATTTTATGTATACTTTGCCAAAATGTAAAAAATATTTTTTAAATAAACAAACTATAGCTATCTGCAATAGCATGAATTAATATCATAAATATAAAGTTGCCTAGAAGAAAGTAGATGTAAAAGTATACATATTATATAATTTCACTTATATAAAATCCAGAAAGTGAACACAACTGAGGTTCTGGTTTCCAGTAATAATGAAGTAGACTAGTTCGTTGAATAACTATTTCACAGATAACAATAATAAAGCTTAATAAAATACTATATTTTGCTATATAGAAAGGCACACTGTTTAGAAGACTGAATGAAGATTTTATCTATGCCACTGTGGAAGAGATAAGGATTGGGGTTTGAATCTATTCAAATTAACTCTCTCTTAAAATAATAATTTTCAAAGAAATACAACAGAATCCAGAGTCCCTGTAGTTCCTATCACACAATTTAAAAATTCATGAGATGTGTGAAGAAGCATGAAAGTGTAATCGATTCACAAGATAAAAAGCAGACAATAGAACCTATTCTCAAGATGTGCAAGATGCTGTAATCAGTAGATAAGATTTGAAAGAAGCTATGGTAAGTACGTTCATGGGGGTAAAAGAAAACAGTCTCATGACAAGTGAACAGAAGCGTAACTGTACATTTCATGCGCGTCCGTGTGAAGAGACCACCAAACAGGCTGTGTGTGAGCAACATGGCTGTTTATTTCACCTGGGTGCACGCGGGCTGCGTCCGAAAAGAGAGTCAGCGAAGGGAGATAAGGGTGGAGCCGTTTTATAGGATTTGGGTAGGTAAAGGAAAATTACAGTCAAAGGGGGTTTGTTCTCTGGCGGGCAGGAGTGGGGGTCGCAAGATGCTCAGTGGGGGTGCTTTTTGAGCCAGGATGAGCCAGGAAAAGGACTCTCACAAGATAATGTCATCAGTTAAGGCAAGGACCGGCCATTTACACTTCTTTTGTGGTGGAATGTCATCAGTTAAGGTGGGGCAGGGCATATTCACTTATTTTGTGATTCTTCAGTTACTTCAGGCCATCTGGGCGTATACGTGCAAGTCACGGGGGATGCGATGGCTTGGCTTGGTCTCAGAGGCCTGACATACACTCCCAGTCTTTTGGTCACAGGGCTGTGGGACTGAGGAGGGAAATTAAAGAAAAATAAAATTAAAAAGAAAGAGAAATAAATTTTCTTGTATTGGGCTGACTTGTCCCAGAGGCTTCAACAGGCACAGCCCAGAACCAGGAATAGTCTTGATAATATTATCTAATGTGCTCTGGAGGTTCTCCCAACGCTCCCCCAACATCGGGAAAAGAAAAACAAATTTCCTTTTTTTACGGAATGAGTTTATAGATTCTTGTTCTCTGTAACTAGTGACTTCAAGTATTCTGTTTTATCTAAGAAGTACAATGTAAGTCATGAGAAGCCTGAGTAGGCTGAACTACAGCTGTTTGGGCACCATAGTGAGGGTTATAGGATAAGCCCATGCCCAGGGAAACCTAGAAAATGGACATGTGGGTTGCTTGGCAACGGTCATGTGCAATCCTGTCTGTCCTGCCTCTGTATCCCTGCTTTCACGCCACTGTAAACTTGCTTCAAGCTAGCCCACCACCTTTTGTGAAATGTGCATAAAAGTCAGGTTCTGTCTTTGTTCCGGGCCCAGTCTTTTTGATGTGAGTTAGCTTGTCCTCAGTTTCATGCGCGTCCGTGTGAAGAGACCACCAAACAGGCTTCGTGTAAGCAATAAAAGCTTTTAATCACCTGGGTGCAGGCAGGCTGAGTACGAAAAGAGAGTCAGCAAACGTAGATAGGGATGGGGCCATTTTATAGGATTTGGGTAGGTAAAGGAAAAAGGGGGATTGTTCTCTGGCGGGCAGGAGTGGGGGGGTCACAAGGTACTCAGTCGGGGAGCTTTTGAGCCAGGATGAGCCAGGAGAAGGAATTTCACAAGACAATGTCATCAGTTAAGGCAGGAACAGGCCATTTTCACTTCTTTTGTGGTGGAATGTCATCAGTTAAAACAAGAACCGGCCATCTGGATGTGTACGTGCAGGTCACAGAAGGTACGATGGCTTAGCTTAGGCTCAGAGGCCTGACACTGAGTGCACTCAATAAAAATTCTCCTGTTTCAACCCGGGGTCTCTCTCATCCTCCTGAATCCCGCAACGGGAGAATTCCAGCATGCACCAGGTTCACGGGACAGTGCGCGGTCACTGAAAGAAGAGGGGGGCGGGGAGGGTGGTGTGCGGCTGTGAGCACCTCTTGTGCTTGCTGGGAGATGTAGTCTTATAAAGACTCCCAGCCCTTTGGTCACAGGGCTGCAGCACCCCAATTCCAGCATACACCGGAATCAGAGACAGTGCGCGCTGGCAGAGGAAGAGGTAGAGCTGTGCGTGACTCGCTGGGCTTGATGGAAAATGTAATCTCATGAACACTCCTTAATGAACAGTGCGCCTCACTGGAGGAAAAGGCGGGGCTGTGCAGGCCTTGCTTTGCTTGCTGAGAGATGCTGTCTCATAAACACTCCCAGCCCTTTGGTCACAGGGCTGCAGGACTACATTCCCATCATGCACCGGGATCAGGGATAGTGCATGTGCCTGGGTGAAGAGACACAGTTTTGCGAGCCTCCTTTGGCTTCCTGGGAGATGTAGTTTCATAAAGACACCCAGACTTTTCATTACAGGGCAGCCGGACTACAATCCCAGTATGCACCAAGATCAAGGATAGTGCGCGTAACTGCAGAATGAGGCGGCATTGTGCACGCCTCGCTGGACTTGGTGGGATATGTATTCTCATAAACATACCCAACCCTTTGGTCATAGGGCGGGAAGACTACAATCCCAGCATGCACCTGGCTAAGAGACAGTGCCTGTCACTGGAGGAAGAGGCGGAAGACTACAATCCCAGCCAGCACCGGGCTCAGGGAAATTGTGCGTCAGTGGAGGAAGAGGCGGGGTTGTGTGCTACTCGCCAGGCTTGCTGGGAGTTGTATTCTCATAAAACCTCCCAGCCCTTTCATCACAGGGCTGAAGGACTACACTTCCAGCCCCAGCATGCACTGGGCTCAGGGACAGCGCGCGTCACTGGAGGAAGAGGGAGGGCTTTGCGCTTCTAGCTGTGATTTTTTGGGAGATGTAGTCTCATTAACGCTCCCAGCCCTTTGGTCACAGAGATCCAGGACTGCAATCCCAACATGCACCCAGCTCAGGGATAGTGCGCTAATCACTGCAGGAAGAGGCAGGGCTGTGTGCACCTCCTGGGCGTACTGGGAGATGTATTCTCATAAACACTCCCATCCCTTTGGTCATAAGGCTGCAGGACTACAATCCTAGCATGCACCCAGCTCAGTGACAGTGCGCTAGTCTAAGGAGAAAGAGGCAGGGCAGTGTGCGCCTTGCTGGGCTTCCTGGGAGATGTAGTCCCATGGCGTCTCCCTGCCCTATGGTCACAGTGCTATAAGACTACAATCCCAGCATGCACGGGGCTCAGGGAGAGTCCACATCACTGCAGAAAGAGGGGCAGGTTGTGCGCACCTCGCTGCGTTTGCTGGGAGATGTTGTTTCATAAAGACTCTCAGACCTTTTGTCACAGGGCTACAGGACTACAATCCCAGGATGCATCGGGATCAAAGCAGTATGCGACACGGGGAAAAGATGCGGAGCTGTGTGCGTCTCCCTAGGTCTTCTGGGAGATGTGGTCTCTTGGCCCTTTGGTCACAGGGCTGCAGGACTACAATGCCAGCATGCAGCGGGTTCATGGACAGTGTGTATCACTGGAGGAAGACGTGGAGCTGTGCGTGCCTCGCTGGGCTTGCAGGGAGATGCAGTCTCATAACTACCCCAGTCGTTTGGTCGCAGGGCTGCAGCAGTACAATTTCAGCATATCTTTGGCTCAGGGAGAGTGCACTAGTCACTGAAGGAAGAGGTAGGTCTGTGCGCACCTCTCTGGGCTTGCTGGGAGAGGTAGTCTCATAAACACTACCAGCCCTTTCATCACATCGCTGTAGGACTACAATTCCAGCATGCACGGGGCGCCGGGGCAGTCCGCCTCACTAGAGGAAGAGAAAGGCGTGTGAGCGCCTTGCTGGGCTTTCTGGGAGATGTTGTCTCTTTATTTCTCCCAGCCCTTTGGTCACAGGGCTTCAAGACTACAATCCCAGCATGCATCCTGCTCAGGGACAACGCGCGTCACTGTAGGAAGAGGTGGACCTGTGCTGTTCTCGCTATGCTTTTTGGGATACGTATTCTCGTAAACACTCCCAGCCCTTTGGTCACTGGGCTGCATCACTACAATCCCAGCATACATCGGGATCAGGGAGAGTGCGCTAATCAGTGGAGAAAGGGGCGAGGCTCTGCACACCTCGCTGGTCTTGCTGGGAGATGCAGTCTCATAAACACTCCCAGCCCTTTGGTCACTGGGCTGCAGCGCTACAATCCTAGCATGGACCGGGCGCAGGGAATGTGCGCGTCACTGGAGGAAGAGGCAGGGTTGTGCAAGCCTCTCTGGGCTTGGTGGGAGTTGCAGTCTCATAAACACTCCCAGACCTCTCATCACCGGGCTGCAGGACTACAATCCCAGCATGCACCCGGCTCAGGGAGAGTGCGCATTACTGGAGGAAAAGTCTAGGCTGTGGATGCCTCCTTCTGCTTGCTGGGAGATGTAGTTTCATAAAGACTCCCAGAACTTGTGTCACAGGGCTGCAGGACTACCATCCCATTATGCACTGGGGTCAGGGACACGGCCCGTCAGTGGAGAAAGAGGCGGGGCTGTGTGCGTCTCCTTCGGCTTGCTGGGAGATGTATTCTTATAAACACTCCCAGCCCTTTGGTCAAAGGGCTACAGGACTACAATCCCAGCATGTGCCAGTCTCGGGGGCGAGGTACAGGCCTGGAAGAAGGGGCAGAGTGGTACACGCCCCACCTAATATGCTGGGAGCTGTAGTCTGTTAACTGCTCTCAGCCTGTTTGTCGGTAGGCTTCAGAACTATAATCACAGCATGTACCGGGACCCGGGGTGCATAGCCCTGGAGGGAGGGGCAGAGCGGTGTGGACTTCCCGGTGTCCAAAGCACTGCTGAGTTCTTATGCTATGCCGACTCTTTGCCAAGGAGAATGAGTACATAGGTGGACCTAGAGGACAGGTCTGCGCTGAGCATTGAGGAGGGTATTACCCTACATAGGCACCTTACCTTTGCCCAAATCGGGCGGGTTGTCCTCAACTGATTGGCCCTATCCTTCTCAAGTTCCTCTTTCAGCTGCACCCAGGGTTCTTTCCAGAGCATTGCGCCTTCTGCAGCCCAGGGCGCTGCCTTCTTTCCTAAACTGCTGTGGAAACTGTCCTGATGTCTGAGACACTGTCCATTGTGCCGCAGCCCTCTTTTTTCTCTAGCCAAGCCTCATGCTCAACAGCTTTTGAGAGAAATCTTCCACGTGGCCTGCTTATGAACAGCTTCAGAATTCTGTAGGGGGTGACAAGGTCTGTGGCTTCCTGGAAATGTCACTCTCAATGGCGCCTTTTTCACGAATGTGAAAGTTGAGGCATCAGGAAGGTTAATTATTGGGTTGCACAAAATCTGCTAAGAGCAAAGGAGAAAACCTCATTTCCGAGGCATGAGTCTTGTGAGCCATTTTCATCAACCCATTTAAGTGGACAAGCTCCAAAATGAAACCTGAAGCTGCTGACTATTTAGGCATTTTACACTTGAAATCATCGGTCTCATCTCAAGTCACTCCTGACTTGCCAGTGTCTCAGAAACACAAATGGGACCGGATCCCTCAGGAGCAGATAGTGTTCCAGCTTTGTTGGAGCGACATTTAAGATGTGGAGCACTTGGGGTCGTTTGAAACCCGCTATCTTCAGTAGGGACTTTTACTTCTAGAGAACATGTGCATTTTGATTTTATCTGTCCTCAAACTGAACTTTTGCTCATTTTAATAGTAAAAACACATTCCTAGGTGGAGACTTAAGATGCTAATGAGACATGCAATGTATGCACAAATATGTACAGTTAGTGCACATGTGCACCCAGAAGACCACTCAAAACATGCTTACACTAACACTTCTTTCCACCTTCTTATGAATAATCGTGCAAAACCCCCAGAAGGAGGGTTTCTCCAGTAACAATTAATGGTGTCTCACTCTTATGAGCAGCCTGCCCTGGAATCTCTTTCTCAGAATGTACCGTCTATTCTGCACTTAATTTTCAAAGTAGTCTTTTCTTTTTTTGTGTGCAATAAATTACTCTATGCTGTACTTCTTTTGCTGTGTGTTTCTTGTTTAAATTCTTTTAAACTAAGAAAATAAGAATCAAGGTATTACATCAGCCATCAACATTTCTTTTGCCATGGCCTGGAGAGAGGTCTGTCCGCTTCACTGATTTCACTTTCCCTTTACTTGCCGTGAATACTGTGGCACTTCCAGACTACCTGGTTAACTATCGCTGGTTCTTCCAGCACTGTTTCACTAAAGTTCTGGGGAAACCCTGTCCCTTTAGGCTTTATGCATTTCCCAGCTCCTTGAAATTGTTCTTCAACAGGCTTTCTTTGCTGAACAAAAGATGCACAGTCATGGATATGCCCAGTCATAGGGATTGAATCTGAGCATTGCAGGTGTTATAATTGGGCATCATAAATGGCAAACCACTGAATTAGGGAAAGGCTTGTCAGCCAGACATCTGCTCCCCAGCGAGCAGTGGGGGTCATCTCGGCAGGGCTGGAGATGTCCAGCGCTGGTGAGAGCTAGGACGGTGCATGGCAAATGCCTATGACCTCCTAGAGCTTCAGTTAATGGGGTTTCAAGGGGATGAGTTGGACAACTTGGTGGTTCCACTTGGCTCATGGGGCTGCCCACAGCCTCCTGGACTTTAGTACATGTTCTGTCGTTTGCAGGATTCTCTCGGCACCATGGGAATCACTTCCTCTACTGTCACTGAAACACACCTGGGATGTATATTTAAAAATTGAAACAGCTTTTGGCTAAATGAAGCAAAAAAACAATTATCTTCTTTTGTAAAACTATTTAGCCTGCATACAGATTAGCTGACAAAACATGGCTGGAGAATGAGACTGTGAAATTTAACACCATCATACAGCTAGATCTTTTCTGTAGTAATCAGGGAAAATGGTCTGAAGTATCCTATGTGCAAGACTTTCTGGCCCGACAACAAAACCCAGCTCTATGCAGCACCTGTGGGCTAAAGCCTAGTAAGCCACAAAGCCCCTCAGAACCATTAGAAGATCATTTGTTTTATGGGCAAGGGACCCCAGACCCCACAGCCTAATACCAGCTCCAGATAGGGGCCCTCAGAGGCCTACACCTGCTTTAGAATCCCCAGCGTCCCCACACTATCAGAGTCTTCTGTAGAATCTAAGCTTGTTTCATCTCCTCCTTATGCTCCTCTATCAGCCTTTGCCAGTTACAATAGAGACCAGTCCAGCTGCAGTTACTCACAGTGGAGCTTCACACCATGCAGGGCCAGAGAATTTGATCCGCTTACAGAAAGTCTCAAATGGAGAGAGGACCATCAGAGTGCTTGTTCTCTTCCCAATAAATGATCTAATCCAATGTAAGCAACAGCTCTGATGGCTCTCAGACAACTTCAGCGCGTTTACTCAAGCCTTCTAGTCTCTAACTTTGACCACCATTCAACTTTACCATCCATAAATGGATCCAATGACTGCTGCCAACTCAGCTGCACAAAACTTTTTCTTATTTGCGAAAAATAGAAAAGACTTAAAACTTTTGCTGCTTTCACCATTTTAAAGCAGAATACTTTTGCAGCACAAATGTCACCATAAGGTGGATCCTTGGGAATCCAGTACAAACTATCTCAGAAAATCTCAGTGTGTCCCCAACAGGCAGCAGAGGGCCTCAATAGACTTCAACAACGTCTGGACTCCATGGCCACTGTATTCCAACAAAATCAAAGAGCCTGGGATCTTCTCCCAGCCAAGCAAAGAGGAACAGGTTTATATCTAAAAGAAGAATGCTGTTTTTTGAGATCAATCAGTCTGGTTTATTCCAAGAAAATATTAATAATATCATCACCCAGGCAGACAAAATTTAATCTCTAGGAACTTCCATGGGAACATGAAAGCAATGTCCATTGCCTGCCTTGCTCTCTTTAATAGTACCCGTCATTATTATATTTTCAACTTCTACTTTTGTTCCAATTTTGTTTAAAATGTTAACTGATTTCCTGCTATGTTGCTTGTGGCAGCTCCATGTTTGCATGATGGTTTGCAAGGCTTTCAATCTTTGGCTGCCAACATCTTCCCACTGGTTCCACGAACGACATGGTTTACACCCTGTTAGATCACACAGGAAGAAACTTTAAGGCCCAGGCTAGGCAGAAGTAACACCCACTCAGCAGGAAACAGCTCCAGAAAAAGTGGTCTAACCCCTCAACCTCCAATATGGTTATTGCCCTAAAATCTCTTAGGGGGAAATTGAGGCAGAATAGATAGTACAGAAAATGACCATGATCTCGGGATAGAGAAACCATGGTGACTGTACAGCCAACACAATAAGCCGTAGCATTCGCATTGTAATTGGGCTTATTCGAGCAAAGTTATCCTCATTAAGGACTTTCTGTTCTAGAGAGCATGTGTATTTTGATTTCACCTGCCCTCAAACTTAAATTTTGCTTATTTTAATAGCAAACAATGCACCCCCTAGCCAGGCACGGTGGCTTATACCTCTACTCTCAGCACTTTGGGAGGCTGAGGAAGATGGATCACTTCAAACTAGAAGCTCGAGACTAAACTGGCCAACATAGAGAAACCCCGTCTAAATTAAAAATACAAAAATTAGCAGGGTATGATGGTGCATGCCTGTAATCCCAGATACTCAGGAGGCAGAGGCACGAGCATGGCTTGAACTCAGGAGGCAGAGGTTGCAGTGAGCAGAGATCACACCACTGCACCCCAGCTTGGGCAACACGGCGAGACTCTGTCTCAAACAAACAAACAAACAAACAAACACACAGAAATACACTCCTGGGTGGAAATATAAGATGCTAACGAGACATGCAACATATGAACAAGCATGTACAGCTACTGCGCATATGCACCCCGAATACCACAGAGAACATGTTTACTAGCAACTCCTCTTCCCTCCTCCTTATTAATAATAATGTAAAACTGCCATAAAGGGGTTTCTCCAGCGACAGTCCACGCTGTCTCACTCTTATGAGCAGTCCGCCCTGGAGTATCTCTCTCAGGGTGTACTGTATTCTGCACTTAACTTTCAAATATTTTCTTTTCCAATAAATTATGCTGTACTTTTTTTCTTTGTGTCTCTTGTTTAAATTCTTAAAATCTAGGAAGACAAGAACAGAGGTATCACATCAGTTGTCAACACAGCAATAAGTCAGCCTCCTTCTTGTAAGCATAGCCCACGCAGAAAAGGAGAGTCGCATCACCTAGGTGCTGGATCCAGAGGTATGTCACAATTTATCCCATGCACAAAGTTAAGGTCATTGAGGAGAGTCATATTAAATAATTTCTGGGCCCAGGGATTTGTCACAACAGCTCCTGTGAGAAGAGATCAGGCAGCATAATCACATAACCGGTGTGCTGGACACAGCGATAAGCCACCTTTCATCTGTGGGCATGACCCAGGCAAGAAAGAAGAGTCACGGCATTTAGGTGCTTGCTGCAGAGGTACGTAACAATCTCTCTTATGGGCAAAGCTCAGGTAAGAGAGAAGAGTCAAATCTCCAAGGTGATTCATGTAGAAATTTGTCACAAGAGACTTTTTAGGCAGGGCCCATGTTGGATCTTCTTATCTTCCAGAAGTTAGGTACAGGGATATGTCAGAATACCCAAAATACACAGGGCTCAGTCAATAAAGAAGAGCCACATCACCCAGGTGCTGGGTCTAGACATATGTCACATCTCTTTTATGGGGAAAGCTCAGGTAAAAAAGGAAGGTCATATCAAATAGTTGATAGACCCAGAGATATGTCACATTGCCTCCTGCTTGAAGTGTCTAGGCCAAAGACTCACATCACATTGGTGCTAGGCCTGTGTTCATATATAAACATTCAACCAGAGTTGAAATGGTGGCTCGTTTCTAAACCCAGCTTATAGGCAAGGGATGAGTCTCCTATCCTGACATAGTTAATTGTAATGATGTTGACTCTCATCCCTGGGCTTAATGTTACAAGTATGATCATGGGTCCCTACCATTAGGAAGGTCTCAAAGTTGATTACGACTCTCATTCATACAGTATAGGGCCATTGGGCAGTACACAGAGCGTGCTAACTGGGCCGAGCACACAGGTGAGATTGTGACACTCATATGCATACCCAGCCAACAGTAACTATTGTCATCCTCTCACGGGAACACAAGTCAGTCTGCAGAGGAATTGAGGCTCTCATGCGCAAATCCAGTCTGGTGTTGAGATGGTTATTCGTGGGCTTAGACCCAACATACAGGAGGTGTTGAATGTCATGCCTACCACTGAGACAGCTGTGCGATTGTTAATCTAATTCCTGGACCATTCTGCAGCTTCCATTGTCAAATTTCCCAGTGCCTAGCACCTAAGTGACTTGACGGGCTCGCATGGACCCAGCCCACAGATGGGATATTAACATATTGATGGATCCAGCACATTGAGGATGTAACTCTATTCTCCTTCGTTGGCACTGCCCACAGTGAGCAGTTTGACATATCGCTAGACCTTACACCCAGGTGATGTGAGTCTCCTCTTCTGCCTTGGCGCTGCCCTCAGGAAGCGTTGTTATATATAGCTTGGCCTCGCATCCAGGTTATGTGACTCTCCGGCTTGTGCACTGCCCATATGGGACACTGTGTTAATATTGCTGAGTCCACTACTCAGGTGATGTAACCCAACTGCCTGGGCCCTGCCTTACAGGGGCATTGTGACATATCTCTGTGCTCATCAGCCAGGTGATGTGATTCTCTTCTCCTGCCTGGTCCCTTTACACAGAAGGGATTGTGACACGTTGCTGGGCTTAGCACCAAGTTGATGTTGATGTGAATCTTCTGCCTGGATCGAGTTCACAGAAGGCATCGTGACATACCTCTGGGTGCATCACCTATTTGATGAGACTCTCCTCTCTTACCTGAGCATTGCCCATAAGACAGATTGTGACATATCCCTGGGTCTAGCACTGGGATGATGTGAATTCTCTCTGCCTGGGTCATGCCCACAGAAGGAAGTGTGACTTATAACTGGGAACAGCACAGGGGTGATGTGATTCTTCTGCCTGGTCCCTACGTACAGGAGTCATTGTCAAATGCCTCTGGGCCCATCATCTAGACTATGTGACTCTCTACTTCTTCCTAGGGCCTGCTCACATAAGGATTGTGACATATTACATGCCCTACATCATGTGACTTTTCTCTCATGTCTGGGCTCCGTCTTGGAGATGAATGTGACACATACCTAGGCCTGTTCCCTAGGTTCTGTAACTTCTCGTTTTTCAAAATCCTACCCACCAGGGGCATTGAAACATCTCTGTGGGCACTTCACTTAGGTAATGTTACCCTGTTGCCTGGAGCCTCCCCTCTGGGGGGTATGGTGACATATTGCTGGACACAGTACCTATGTGATATTCTCTCCTTTCTTGCCTGGGCCTTGTATACATTATGTATTCTAATATACGGCTGGGTTTAATGACTAGGTGATGCAACTCTTATGCATAGACCCTACCCACAGGGACATTATGACATTTCTTTAGCTCTGACTCTCCTCTTTTTCCTTAGCCCTGCCAAAAAGGGAGGTGGTGACATATAACTGGACCTAGCAACCAGCTAATATGAGTCTCCTCTTTTGCCTGCACCCAGCATATTTTGGGTATTGTGATGTATCCTTTGTCTCAAAACCTGCAGGATGAAAGTCTCCTGCCTGAGCCCAGCCATCTGTCAAAATTGTTTCTCCCACACGAACATGGACCATAATTGAGGTTCTGAAACTCACACCCAGAGGCAGTCAACAGTTGGAAAATTGGCTCTTAAAAGTGGATATTGTCTGCCAGTGGGTTTGTGACTCCCTGACCAAGATCCAAAACACTTGTGAGGCTGTGAGTCCACTAAGATAACTCCGTTTTCAAAAGGGATTAAGGCTCTCATGGAAAAAAACCCATTCCTCCATTGAGATTGTGACTTATGCACATAGATACAACGTACAGGAGGCGTTCACTCTCATACCCAGAACCGGAACTTATGTGGGATTGTTAATCTCATCCATGGACCTTCCTGCAGGTGTGATTCTGACATACACCTCTAGCCAGCACCTGAGTGATTTGACATTTTTGCCTGGGTGTAGCCCACAGATGAGATTGTGATATATCTCTGAATCCAGCATCTAATTAATATGCTTCTATTCTCCTGTCTTGGCACTGCCCATAATGGGTATCCTGACCTAACACTGGTCCTGGCACTTTGTTATGTGACTCTGTCCTGTGCTTTGCCCACATGAGCCATTGTGACATATTGCTGGGTCCAACACCCAGGTGATGTAACTCTTGTCTAGACTTTGCCTACAGGGGGCATAGTGACATATCTCTACACTGACCACCCAGGTGATGGGACTCACTTCTCCTGACTGCTACCTGTTTATAGCAGGGATTGTTACAAATCGTTGCGGGCAGACTCTAGGTAATGTGACTGTCTTTTTACAGAGCGCTACCCACAGGAGCCATTGCAAAATATCTGTGGGCCTCTCACTCTTTGCCTGGGCTCATTTCTCAGGGGTATTGTGACATATGGCTGACCTCAGCACCGAGGTGAACTGAGTTTCTTCTACTGTAGGGCTCTGACCAAAGAGAGATTACAATGTATCACCGGGCCCAGCACCTGAGCTATTTGACTCTCCACTCTTGGCTGCACCCTACATTTATTGTATATTGTGACATATCACTGGGTCCAACACGTAGGTAATGTGACTCACCTGCATGGGCCATTTCCCCATGGGTACTATGAAGTATCTTTTTGTTCATCACTTAGGTGATGCAACTCTCCTCTTTGCCTTGGGCCCCACATAATTTAGCTATTGTGATGTATCACTGGGCCAATCACCTAGTCAATAGGAAGCTTCTGCCAAGACCCTGACTACTGAGGGCCTTGTGACATAGCTCTGCATTTATCACCTAGAAAATATGATCCCCCCCATTTCTGCCTGAACCCTGCTCACAAGAAAAATTGTAGCATACTTCTGGGCCCAGCAAACAGGTGATGTGTTTCACCTGCCTGTGCTTAGTTCACAGGGAAAATTGTGACATATCACTGGGCCCAGAACCCAGGTGAGGTGACTCTGCTGCATGTGTCGTGCTTTCAGGAGAGAACAAGAACATATCCCTGGCAGAACTCTTAGGGATGTGACTCTCTTGCCTTGTCCCTGTCCTCAGGGAAGACTGCAACATGTCCCTGACACAGACCCAGGTGATGAGACTCTCCTGCTTCTGACTACCCAAATGTGAGATTGTCACATATATTTTGGCCTAGCATGTAGGTGTGATGATGACATTCATACCTTAAACCAACCAATAGCAGAGATACTTTCTCTCACAGCCAGGCTTAACAAAACTTGCAAAATTATGGGTCTTCTCTTACTATGAAGGTCAGAGAAAGTAAGCACTCTTGCATATCCTATAAAGCACTCAGATGGTACAGTGTTATCACAGGGCCCAGAACACAGGTGAGATTGTGTTCTCTGTGTGCACACCCACCAATCATCAGAATTGTCATTCCTACACAGGAACAGAGGTGATTAGGGAGGTCTAAACCTCATACCTGAATGCCGTCCACAGCGGGAATTGTAACTATCACATGTGAACATCCAGTCACAGTTGGGATAGTGACTTATTTCTGAACCCAGTTTACAGCCAAGTAAAGATCCTCTTATCTGAATCCAGCCAGCTGGAGAGATGTTGACTCTCATACCTGGACTTATGGCCACAGGTATGATCATAGGTTCATATCAGCATGAAGACCTCAGAGTGGATTATGTTTAATGCATACTCTACAAGGTCCACAGGAGGTACATAGTGTCCTAACAGGGCCCAGCAAACAGGTGAGATTCTAACACTCATGCACACTCTGGTGACAATAAAAGTTACCATCCTCAAAAATGGGCACAACCGGCGTGACTCAGTGGCTCACGCCTGTAATCGCAGCACTTTGGGAAGCCGAGGCGGACAGATCATGAGATCAGGAGATCAAGACCATCCTGGCCAACATGGTGAAACCACGTCTCTCTACTATTTATGATTATGATTATGATTATGATTATGATTATTATTTTGAGACAGAGTCTTGCTCTGTCACCCAGACTGGAGTGCAGTGGCACCATCTAGGCTTACTGCAACATCCGCCTCCCTGGTTCAAACAATTCTCTTGTTTCAGCTTCCCAAGTAGCAGGGACTACAGGCTCATGCCACCATTCCCAGCTAATTTTTGTATTTTTAGTGGAGACGGGGTTTCACCATATTAATTAGGCTGGTCTCAAACTCCTGACCTCAGGTGATCCACCCACCTCGACCTCCCAAAGTGCTGGGATTACAGGCATGGGACACTGTGCCTGGCCACCCCATCTCTACTAAAAATACAAAAATTAGCTGAGCATCGTGGCACGTACCTGCAATCCCAGCTACTCGGGAAGCTGAGGCAAGAGAGTTGCTTGAACCCAGGAGGCAGAGGTTGCAGAGAGCCGAGATCGGCCCACTGCACTCCAGCCTGGCGATAGAGTGAGACTCCGTCTCAAGGGACCAAAAGAAGAAAGAAAGAAAGAAAGAGAGAGAGAGAGAGAAAGAAAGAAAGAAAGAAAGGAAGGAAGGAAGGAAGGAAGGAAGGAAGGAAGGAAGGAAGGAAGGAAAAGAAAGAAAGAAAGAGAAAGAAAGAAAGGAAAAGAAAGAATTAAAGAAGAAAGAGAAAGAAAGAAGAAAGAAAGAAGAAAGAAGAAAGAGAAAGAAAGAAGAAAGAAAGAAGAAAGAAGAAAGAAGGAAGGAAGAAAGAAAGAAAGAAAAAGAAAGAAAGAAAAAAGAAAGAAAGAAGAAGAAGAAAGAAAGAAAGAAAAGAAAGAAAGAAAGAAAGAAAGAAAGAAAGAAAGAAAGAAAGAAAGAAAGAAAGAGAAAATTGACTCTCATATATGGATCTTGTCCACAGGTAGGTGGGTGACTCTCAAACCAAAATTCATTACTTCTGTGAGACTGTAACTCTCCTAAGGGGAGAAGTTCTTCTCAGCCAGAGAAGACTCATTTATGAATCCAGTTCACTGTTGAGATTGGGACTGTTGTACCTAGGCCAAACATACAAATTCTCATACCTGGAATCCGGACATGTGTGGAGTTGTTCATCTCATCCCTGTCGCTTTCTGCAGGTGGGATTGTGACATACATCTCTGCCCAGCTCCTGAGTGTTTTAGCTCTGTTTCCTGTGTCCAGCTCACAGATGGGATTCTGATATATCACTGAAGCCAGCACCTAGATGATGTGACTCTTATCTCCTGCCTTGGTGCTGCCCACAGGGGACATTGGGACATATCACTTGGCCTTGCACCTAGGTAATGTAAGTTTTCTGTCTTGCATTAGTGCTACTCACAGGGGTGTTGTGATGTATTGCTGGGTCCCACATCCATGTTATGTGACTCTTCTGCCTGTGCCCAGTCCACAATGGCCATTTTGACATATTGTTGCATCCAAAACCTAGATGATCTACCTCTCCTTCCTGAGCTTTGCCTAAGGGGACATTGTGAAATATCTATGAGCCCATCACCCATGTGGTGTGATTTTCTTCTCCTGCCTAGTCCCTGCTTAAAGAAAGGATTGTGACATATCACTGTGCCCAGCACCTAGCTCATATTACTCTTCTTTTGTTTTTTAGGATTTGTTTGGAAGGAGATTGTGATACATTGGTGGGTCCAACTTCTCGGTGACATTACTCTGTTGACTTTGCTCTGCAAGCAGAAAGCACTGTGACACATTATTGGGCCCAACACCAAGGTGAGTCTCCTGCCTGAAGCCTGCCTACAGCAATTTGTAACATATGGCATTGGGACATATCTCTGAGCCCATCAACTATTTGACAAGATTCTCCTTTTTTAACAAAGGCTTTGCCCATAGGAGAGATTGTGACATAATTCTGAGCCCAGAAAATAGGGGATATTTCTTTTGTTTTCTGCTTGAGCCCCACATTGTGATGTATTTCTCCTCCCAACAACTGAGGGAAGGGAAAGTCCTGCCTGGGTCTTGCCTACAGGGAGCCTTGTGAAATCTTTCCGCGTTCATCACCTTAAATATGTGACCCTCATCTTCTGCCGTGGCCATGTTTACAGAAGGGAGAGTGGGTTATTCCTAGACCCAGCACACAGGTCATGTGATTCTGCAACCTGGTGTCTCCAGAGGGGTCATTTTGACATATCTCTAGACTCATCAACTAGATAATGTAATGCTCCTCTTCCCCCTGAAACCTATCCATAGTGGAGATTGTGAAATACAGCCTGGCACAGCACCTACATGATGGTACTCTCTTCTCATGCTTGGGTGCTGCCCACAGGGGTGACTGAAACTTATAGCTGGGTACAGTCTTCAGGTGATGTAACTCTCCTCTATTTTTGGGCCCACACACACAGGGCACTACCATATAGCTCTGCTCCTCAGACCTAGGTGATGTGACTCTGCTGTCTGTTACCTCCTCTTAGGGGGAATTGTGATATATTGCTGGGCCCAGAACCGAGGTGATGTGGCCTTTTCTCTTGCCTGGGCCCTGCATACATGGTGTACAGTAACATATATCTGGGTTGAACACATAGGTGATGTGACTCTTCTGCATAGGTCTTGCCAACAGGGGTATTATGACATACTCTTCTATTCATTGCCTAGGCGATGTGACTCTCCACTCTTACCTGGGTCCTTCCAAAAGAGGGGATTGTGACATATCACTGACCCTAACACCAAGGTAATGTGACTGTTCTCTTTTGCCTGGGTTTGCATATTTTGGGTATTGTGACATATCCCTGGGCCCAACACTTAGGGAATAAGAGGTTTATTCCTCTACCTTACGTGCAGTGAAGCTTGTGACATATTTCTGCATTCATCACCAAGAAGATGTGACTCTTCTGCCTGCATCCTGACCACAGAGAGGATTGTGAAATATTGCTAGATCCAGCATGCAGGTGATGTGTCTCTGCTGCCTGGTTCCTAATGTGAGGAGTGGATTGCAACATACCAATGCCTGAACATTCAGGTAATGTGACTGTTGCCTGGTCCCTGTCCTCAGGGAAGCGACATATCACTGGCCCAGCGTCCAACTGATTTTACTCTCCTGCTCTCTTCCTATATGCAGGTGTAATTGTGACATATATCTTGGAACACAACACACAGGTGCAATGATGACATTCATATGTCAAACCAGCCAATAGAAGAGATACTGCTTCTCCTAGCTACACTTAGGGAAATGAAAAAAAACCCTGGGTCTCCTCGCTAAGATCATCCACTCTCTCATATATTACAGAAAGCCCTCGGGTGGTAGAGAGTCTTATCACAGGGCCCAGCACACAGGTGAAATTTGTTACTCCTATGCGCACCCTGCACCCTCCTGACCATTATGATTTTCACCCTCACATATAAACAGAACCCACTGGTGAGGTCCTGAATTTCACACATGAATGCAGTTTATAGTTGGAATTGCGAATCTCATATGTAAAGATCTGGCCAGAGTTGGAATGGGAACTTCGTTATAAACCCAGCGCATAGAAAGCTGATGATTCTCTTATCTGGACCCCGCCAATTGTAAAGATGTTGACTCATATATAGGCTTAGGGCCACAGGTTTGATCATGGGTCCATACCAGCATGAAAATCTCTGAAAGAATTGAGACTGTCATGCATACAACATAAAGCCGTCAGGTGCAACACAGAAAGTCCTAATAGGGCTCAGCACACAGTAATATAATGACATTGGGATGCACACCCAGCCAACATTAAAGATTGTTGTTCTTTCACATGATCATAGTTCACTTTTGAGGCTCTGAATCCCATACCCAAAGGCAGATTGAAAAGTTGAAAAATTGACTCTCATATTTGAGAGTCACAGATGTGTTGATGACTCTCAGATCATGAGTCAGCACACCTAGGAAGCTGTGATTTCAATTAGGGGACAAAGTACGCAAGAGAAAATGGGGCTGCCATGCACAAATTTAGTCCACTATTGAGATAGTGACTTGTGTACTTAGATCAAACATACAGAAGGTGTTCACTCTCATGCGTAAAACCAGAATATGTGCGGGATTCATCCCATATCTGGACTTTCCTGCAGGTGTCATTGTGACAAGCATACACATTTGTCCATCACCTGAGTGATTAGACTCTTCTGTTTAAGCCCAGCTCACAAATAAATTTGGGACATATCATTGGACCTAGAACATAGGTGATGTGGCTCTATTCTCTTGCCTTCGTGCTGCCCACAGGGAGCATTGTAACGTATCACTGAACTTAACACCTAGGAGATTAGAGGCTCCTGCCTGAACTCTGTCCACAGTGAGCCTTGTAGCATATTTCTGCTTCCAACACCAGATGATGTGACTCTCCTTTCTGCCTGCACCTTGCCCACAGGAAAGATTCTGACATATCACTGGGCCCAGTAATCAGTAATCAGGTGATGTTTCTCTCCTGCTATGGCCTTGCCCACAGGGAGTGTGGTGACATATCACTGAGCTCAATATTCAGGTGATTTGACTCTGCTGCTTGTACTCTGATTTCAGGAGGGGATTGTAACATATCCCCTGTGAGCACACAAGTGATGGGACTCCCCTCCTAGCCTCTGACCTCAGAAAACATTGTTACATATCCCTGGCCCAGCCTTAGGTATGTGACTCTCCTACCTGTTCCCTGCCATCAGGGAAGATATTGACAGATCTCAGGCCAAGCATCCTGGTGACGTGACTCTCCTGTTCACTCCGTACCCACAGGAGAGATTGAAACATATATCTTGGCCAGCTCACAGGTGTAATAATGACTCTCATACCTCAAACCTGCCACTAAGAGAAATGCTGTTTTTCATAGGGAGGCTTTGGAAAATCGGTAGGTCCTAAATCTTCTCTTTGTATGAGGGTCTTAGAGGAATACCACTCTCTCTTATATTATATAAAGCCCTTAAATGGTACAAAGAGTGTTATCACAGGGATATGTTGCATAACCTAGGGGAGGGGCCCAGTTATATGTCACAATTAGCCCAGGGGGCAGGGCACAGGCATGAGAAGAATCTCACCACATATGTGCTGGCCTAAGTGATACATCATCATCCCCACTGTGGACAGGTCGCAGTAAGAACAGGAGAGTCACATCATTCTTATAATGGTCTCAGAGATACATCACAATGACTCCCCTGGGCAGAAACAAGGGATAAGAGTCACATCACCTGTGGGCTAGGCCCAGAGATGTCACTCTTACTTCTGTGGGCATGTCTCAGGCTGGAGAGGAGAATCACATTACCTAAGCACTGGATCAAGAAATACTTCACAATCTTTCTCATGGCGAAAGCCCAGGTAAGAGAATAGAGCCATATCAAATAGTTCATGGGCTCAGAGATATGTCACAATGCTCCCTGTGGGCAGGGTTCAGGTAGGACAATCACATTACCTTGGTGCTTGTTCAGCAATATATCCCAAAGCCTTCTGAGGGCAGAGCCAAGACAAAAGAGTAAAATCATTTTGGTGTTTTACAAATCGATATGTCACAATCTCCCCCGAGGGCAGAACCTGAAAAAAGGGAAGAGTCACATTAGCTAAATGCTGAGCCGGGTGATAAGTCACAATTCACCCTGTAGGCAGAGACTAGACAGAAGATAGAGTCACATCATCTAGTGGCTGGTGCAGAGATATGCCACCATGCCCTCTCTAGGCAGAGTTCAGACAGGAGAGTTATGTCACCTGTGTTTTGGACCCAGAAATATGTCACAAAAGCCCATGGACAGAGCACAGGAAAGACAGTCACATAACCTGAATATCAGCTTCAGTGGTATGACCTAATGCCTCCTGTGAGCGTTCCAAGGCAGGAGAGGAGACTCACATTACCTGTGTGCAAGGCCCAGTGATACGTCACACGGAGGAGTACCACTGTCTTGCATATTGTGTAAACTATGGTAGAGAAATTGTCACCACAGGGCTCGCCACACTGGTGAGATTATACTTCTCAGATGCACACCACACCAATATTCAGGATGGTCTCTATCACACGTGGAGAGAGCCCACTCTTGAGGTCCTGAATTACACATGCAGACACAGTCCACAACTGGGATTGTGACTTTCATATGTGAACATCCAGCCACAGGTGGGATGGTGACTCATTTTTAAACGCAGCTCATAGGCAGTTAAGAACTCTTATTTGGACCCATCCAAGTAGAAAGATGTTGACTGTCATACCAGGGCTTAAAGCTAAAGGTACAAGGAGGGGTCCGTGCCTGCTTAAGGTTTCAGAGAGAATTGTTACACTCATGCATACTCTATAAAGGCTGCATATGGTGAAGAGAGTGTCCTGACAGGGCCCAGAACAAAAGTAGATTGTGACACTCATATCTACTCTGAGCCAAGAGTAAAAATTGTCATCTTTTCACATGAACACAGCCCACTGTTGAGGTTCCAAATCTCACACCTGGAGGTGGTTGAGAGATGAATAATTGACTCTCATAAGTGGATGCGATCCATGTTTGAGTCAGTGACTCTAAAACCAACATTCAGCAAACACGTGAGGCTGTGACTCCATTAAGGGGCCACGGTCCTCGGGAAAGACTGAAGCTGCCATGCACAGATCCAGTGCACCATTGAGACTGTGACTTCTACACTTAGACCCAACAAACACAATGTGTTTGCTCTCACACCTAGATATGGGACATGTGCAGGATTGTCAGTCTCAACCCTGGACTTTCCTGGAGGTATAACTGTGAAACATATCTCGGCCCAGCTCGTGAGTGACTTGACTCTTCTGCGTAGCCCAGCCCATGATAAAATTCTGACATTATTGAACCCAGCACCTATGACCCCCCTCTTCTGCCTGGGTCCTGTCAAAAAGAGAGATTGTAACAAATCACTGGGACAAGCACCCACATGATGTGACTCTCCTCTTTTCCCTGGGCCCTGCATATTTTGTATATTGTGACATACTGCTGGGCATAATACCTAGGGAATTGATGGCTACTGCCTGAGCCCTGTTCACAGGGGGCCTTGTGACATCTCTCTGCATTCATCACCTAGAAAAAGTGTGTGCACCCTGCCTACAAAGAAGATTGTAGCAGATCACTTGTCCTAGCAACCAAGTGATGCGAGTCTCCTGTCCTGCCTTGGTGCTGCTCACAGGGGACATTATAACATATACTTGGTGCTGGCCCCATGTTTCGTAATTTTTCTGCCAGGGGTCTACCATATAAGCTATATTGCTGGGTCCAACACCCAGGTCATGCAGCTCTCCTTTCTGTGCTCTGCCTACAGGGGACATTGTGACTTATCTCTGCACCCATCACTCAGGTGATGTGACTTGCTTCTGCTGACTGATTCCTGTTCAAGTGGAGATTGTGACATATCAATGGGGGCACCATCTAGCTGATGTAACTATTCTCTTCTGCCTAGGTTCTTCCTGCAGTGGAAATTGTGATGTATCACTGGGCTTAACACCAAAGTGACATTAATTTTTTGCCTTGGTTCTTCCCTCAGAAGACATTGTAATATATTGCTGGGCTCAGCACCAAAACGATGTGGATTTCCTGTCTGGACCCTGCATACAGGAGTCCCTGTGACATATCTCTTGACTCATCAACTATTTGATGTGACTCTCCTCTGTTCCCTGAGCTTTGCCTATAGGAAAGCATCAGCCTGGGCTCCAGAGTCAGCCACCCACCCCTGCACAGACAAGGAGAGGTCTCATTAAGCTTCAGCACAGTCTGGGACCATAGCTTTTTTTGTAACGATTTGTTCGGCATGAGGCCCACTCACAAGGGCCCTTCGTGACTGGACTCAAGGAAAACGAAAAGGCCTACTTGTTTTTGCGATTTTCTGTTGTTTTTCAATAACTATTTCTCAGAAACAGTGCTGGATGAATTCCACAAGGGGTTCACACAACCTGTTCCAGGGCTTAGTGACCATTGTTTCTGTCCATGTTCATTGAGTTCAAATTTAATATTTAACTTTTCCTCCTCATTCAGCCTCAATTTGACACTGAATCATAGGAAAATATTTTTACAGTTATACGGGGAAGGCACAACTGGTATAGATTACAGATAGAGCAGAGGAGAATTAAAAGCACAATTAATAGAAACCACACCCACCATGGCCAACGCCAATGCTAGTTTGACAGCCAGTCCATGATGGGGTCCTGATGGTTAGATTCTAACTGTTTTACTTGTCCTTGCATGTCTTCGGCAAGGAGAGTAATACTGCGAGAACTGTCAGGGATACACACAACATTCAGAATGCAGCAAGACTCAAACCCCTCCTTGGGCTGCGGTAAACATACCTAATGCCATTCGATTTTGCAACACAACAGTACACAGCTTAACAAGTTCTTCTGATAACAACAGAAGTCCAGTGCTACTATCTTAGGAGCTTTTACTATATGTAGACTTAATATTTTAATTTGTTGCTGAAGCAGGATTGTACGAGGGGCAAGGGAGAATACTGTGATAGTTTTCCACCACCAGGGAGTCTGGCACGTTCATAACCAGCTACCTTTGTAAGCATCTAGATTATTGGGGAAGGGAATATTATCCCGGATGGTGAATGGAATTAATGGCACCCCCAAGTGAATCTCCCCATCCAATAAGGGGGCAGATAGGCCACCCATAGGGTCTGCATACCCAGAGGGCCCCCCAGGGGACAGCAATGGTTATACTACAATTATAGTGTATTAAGATGTTATTAAAGTAGCAAAGGAAGTCCAGGTTGGATTGCAAGTGTTGTTGTTTTGGCCCCATTTGTAGTGACAGAGCCATTCAGAAATATTGGCAAGGACAACTCTGCAAGGCAGTCCATTTCCTGTGGTCTCTGGCAATTTTATGCATAGCCAGCATTGACTGCGGTTGGCTTCTGTTGCAGTGGTTGCTGCCCAGTTGATGAATTCACTCTCCACCTCAGACATGATGACCCAGGTACTGATTACTAGTAGACAGGTTATTCTCTGTAACAACAAAACTGAAGGGGAACATGATATTGTTTTTCATTTTTAGGAAATTGTACTACCCTTTTATTTTCTGCTCCCATAGCTACAAGGTCACCAGACTTAGGGGCCAGATCTGATGGAGGCTGTATCCATATTTTCGCTCCAGGATTTAAGCTACCTATACCAGTGGATCTTAATTTCCCAGTTCTGTACGTAGCCTCTGTTGGGGCAGAGATTTCCTCAGGGGTTAATTGTTAACAAGGTACCAGGTACCACTGACAATTGAGCAACCTGAATCTGCAGTCTTGTAACAAAAGAATGTGGAGTGGTATTGTGTAAAGTGAACTTTAACTCTTCCTGGTAATCATTATCAATTATACCACCATACATTATAATGTGTCTCATCGCCAGGCTTGAACGTGTTGTAATCCATTCACCCACATTCAAGTTTGCATTTATGCTGGAAATTTTGGCCTGTTGATCTACCTGCTGTTTAGTCTGTCAAGAGAATGCAGAGATGCATGAGAATCAATATGAAAAACAGCAATAATAGTAATGTGCATCAGGATTCAGGTATCTTCCTAGTATTGTTTTCTCCAAACCTCTTTATTCATTATTCACCATTTGTTTCATTGCCATTCGGGCAACTAGGTAGTAAGACCATTTTCTGCTGACCAACAGTCGGTATACAAGCAACAAATTGCTCTGGCCTCCTCCTGAATAGTTCGGAGGATGGCTTCTAGTTCAGCCAGCTGGCTGCTCACACCCCTCCCTTCATCAGAAACGCTTATGTTTTTAACAGGATTATAAGCCACGGCCTCCCAGCATCAGGTCCCATCAATGTATTTGGTGGAACCATCAGTAACCAAGCGTGTTTCTGATCCTCTGGGCTTAGTTCTTTAAAGGATTTGCCCCATTGGGCAGGGGAGATTTCCTTCCCTATATGCAGGACTTGCCCTGTGGTTTCCTGAGTTGGCAAGTTTTGCACATCTTCATGTAAAAATGATACCGCTTTTAGTTCTGGCTTATCCTGGTCTTGTATGTACCATTTCCATTTTATGATACTACATTCTTGAGTGTACCCTATCCAATGGGTTTTGAGGGAGCTCATGACCCAAGTCATAATAGGAATTTGGGGCCTCATAAAAACATCATGATTAAAACAAAGGTGTTCTGCTTCCTTCAAGCGCAGTAGCAGGCCAACAGCTGCTTCTCAAAGAGTATAAGCTTTGCCAGCCTCTGGCAGCTTCTGGGTCTAAAACTCCAAAGGTATCTTCTTCCCATCTTGTTTCTACCTAAGGCTCCAATTAGCATGTTGATGTAGGACAGTTACTTGCAGTTCTGTTGACTCATCCTATAAGGGCCATAGATCCAGGGCCAGTTGCTCCGCTTGTTTTGCTTCTTGAAAAGCCACGCTGTCTTTCTCTCTCCAGTGATATTCATAGTGTTTTCTAGTGACTGCATGCAGAGGTTGTAATATGTTACCGAACTGGGGAATATGATGTCTCCAGAATCCAAACAAGCCAATACAATTTTGGACCTCCTTTTCAGTGGTAGGGCTGCAAATTCTAGTATTTTAGCGTTAGCCTTTGGTAAAATGGACTGTTTCCCTGCAGTCCATAGGATGCCAAAGAACTTTACACTTTGTGCAGGCCATTGAATTTTATTAGAGTTAACTTCCCATCCTTGAGATAGGATTTGGGTTTTTACCCTCTTCTGCCATGAAAACTGACTAGTTATTCAGTTTTACCCTGACTGGGCAACTCGGACAGCTGCTTTTTCAGCAATAGGCTGATAGCTTTGAGCCTGATCAGTGAAGACAGGCCTGGCATAGTACCAGGACCAGTCTGGAAGTCAGATTAAAATTTTCCTTTTCCAGCTTACATTTCTCTTGTAACAACCAGTCCCTATATTGACACTTTAACTTATAAGCAGTAAGCAAGCATCATCAATGCTGGGAAATTCCCTCAGCATTACAATTACCAACTGGGACTCCCTGCTGCACCTCACACACAGCCAGTGATTCAAACAAACTTTATCCCACTTAAATGGCAATGCAGATATAATAAGCAAATATATAAGCAAGTTGCAATGCGACGGGGAGAAGGGAAAAGATATATATATATATATATATATTTAAACTCACCAAACTATGGAGGATTCACCACGAGACTGTGAAGCAACAGCCTGGGCTCCAGATTGGCCACTCATCCGTCCACAGACAACGTGAGATCTCATGAAGCTTTGGCGCAGTCTGGAACCCCAGCTCTTTTTATAATGAGTTATTTGGCATGAAGTCCGGTCAGGAAGGCTCTTCACAACGGGGCTCAAGGAACACAAAAAGGTCAACTTGTTTTTTTGATTGTCTATTGTTTTTCAATAACTAAGATATAGGAATAAATTGAAATAGAGATTTATCTGAAACAGCGCTGGATGAAGGCTTCAAGGGGCTCACACAACCTGTTCCGGGACTTGGTGACCATTGTTTGAGTCCATGTTCAATTGAGTTCAAATTTAATATTTACCTTTTACTCCACAAAGTGTCAAAAGTAATTCCTTCAAATGCAGGAAATTATGTAGCTACTCACAAACTAAACTTCTCAAACAAAAGTCATAAATAGAGTACAGAGATAAAAAATAAAATAAAATCTAACTACATCTGTCTACAGGGGATTCAATTTATTTATTTATTTATTTATTTATTTTAGAGACATGGTATTGCTTTGTTTCCCAGGCTGGTCTCAAACTTCTGGGCTCAAGTTAACCTCCCACCTCAATCTCCTAAAATGCTTGGATGACAGATATGAGCCATCTTACTATATAGTAACAAAAACAGACTAAAAGTGGCAAGATGCATCAAAACAATTTTATGCAAATCGTAATGAAATGAAGACAATGTCATGAGCACATTATGCAAAATACTTTTTAAATAACTGTCTTAGTTTATAAAATAAACTATAAGTTAAAACTGTCAAAGAAAACAAAGGACAAAATAATAAAAAAGTTTATTCACTGGAAACCTAGGAAAATTATATACATTTATATAATACACGTTTATATAATTGTGTGTATTTATCTAATTATGTATACAGACACACATATATATGAACCTCACAGGAAGATTTTAAAATAAATCAATAATATTTTGTCAGAACATAAACAAAAAACTGCAATATACTGAGAACAATATTTTAATACACCAGTTCTGTAATTAATAATAAAGCCAGAGAGAATGTTAAAAAGAAAACAGAGGACATGAAAATAATGTAAAACAGTTAGATGTAACAGATGCATAGAGATCACTCTACACAACAACAAAACTCACAGTCTTGTCAAAATCTCATAAAACATTGTCCTAAAAATAAATATAAGGAAAAAAATTTTTTAACAGAATTAAAAAAAATTGAATATTACAGAAAACACTTCAAAAAATCAATCAACCCAGGAGCCGGTTTTTTGAAAAGATTAACAAAATAGATAGACCACTAGTAAGACAAATAAAGGAGAAAAGAGAGAAGAATCAAAGAGACGCAATAAAAAACGACAAAGGGGATATCACCACCAAACCCACAGAAATACAAACTACCATCAGAGAATACTATAAACACCTCTACGGAAATAAAGTGGAAAACCTAGAAGAAATTGATAAATTCCTGGAAACATCCACACCTCCAAGACTAAACGAGGAAGAAGTTGAATCTCTGAGTAGACCAATAGCAGATTCTGAAATTGAGGCAATAATTAATAGCTTACGAACCAAAAAAAGTCCAGGACCAGATGAATTCACAACTGAATTCTACCAGAGGTACAAAGAGGAGCTGCTACCATCCCTTCTGAAACTATTCGAATCAAGAGAAAAAGAGGGAATCTTCCTTAACTCATTTTATGAGGTCAGCATCATCCTGATACCAAAGCCTGGCAGAAGCACAACAAAAAAACAATATCCCTGATGAACATCAATGCAAACATCCTCAATAAAATGCTGACAAACCAAATCCAGCAGCACATCCAAAAGCTTACCCACCACGATCAATTCAGCTTCATCCCTGGGATGCAAGCCTGGTTCAACATATGCAAATCAATAAACATAATTCATCACATAAACAGAACCAATGACAAAAATCTCATGACTATCTCAATGGATGCAGAAAAGGCCTTCAACAAAACTCAACAGCCTTTCATGATAAAAACTCTAAATAAACTAGGTATTGATGGAACACATCTGAAAATAATAAGAGCTATTTATGACAAACCCAGAGCCAATATCATGCAGAATGGGCAAAACCTGGAAGCATTCCCTTTGAAAACCAGCACAAGACAACGATTCCCTCTCTCACCGCTCCCACTCAACATAGTATTGGAAGTTCTGGCCAGGGCCATCAGGCAAGAGAAAGAAATAAAGGACATTCGATTAGGAAAAAGAGGAAGCCAAATTGTCTCTGTTTGCAGATGACATGATTGTGTATTTAGAAAACCCCATTGTCTCAGCCCAAAATCTCCTTAAATCTGATAAGCAACTTCAGCAAAGTCTCAGGATACAAAATAATATGCAAAAATCACAAGTATTTCCATACACCAATAACAGACGAACAGAGAGCCAAATTATGAGTGAACTCCCACTCAACAATTGCTACAAAGAGAATAAAATACCTAGGAATCCAACTTACAAGGGATGTGAAGGACATTTTCAAGGAGAACTACAAACCACTGCTCCATGAAATAAAAGCGGACACAAACAAATGGAAGAACATTCCATGCTCCTGGAAAGGAAGAATCAATATCATGAAAATGACCATGCTGCCCAAGATAACTTACAGATTCAATGCTATCCCCATCAAGCTACCACTGACTTTCTTCACAGAATTGGAAAAAACTACTTTGAAGTTCACATAGAACCAAAAAACAGCCTGCATAGGCAAGAAAATCCTACACAAAAAGAGTAAAGCTGCAGGTATCACACTACCTGACTTCAATCTATACTACAGGTCTACAGTAACCAAAACAGCATGGTACTGGTACCAAAACAGATATATAGAGCAATGGAAAGAAACAGAGGCCTCAGAAATACCATCACACATCTACAACCATTGGATCTTCGACAAATGTGACAAAAACAAACAATGGGGAAAGGATTCCTTATTTAATAAATGTTGCTGGGAAAAATGGCGAGCCATATGCAGAAAACTGAAACTGGATTTCTTCCTTACACCCTATACATAAATTGACTCAAGATGGATTAAAGACTTAAATGTAAGACCCAAAACCATAAAAACCTAAGAGAAAACCTGAGCAATACCATTCAGGACATAGGCATGGGCAAAGACTTCATGACTAAAACACCAAAAACAATGGCAACAAAAGCCAAAATAGACAAATGAAATCTAATTAAACTTAAAAGCTTCTACACAGCAAACGAAACTATCATTAGAGTGAACAGGCAACCTACAGAATGGGAGAAAATTTTTGCAATCTACCCATCTGACAAAGGACTCACATCCAGAATCTACAAAGAATTTAAACAAATTTACAAGAAAAAAATGAGCAATCCCATCAAAAAGTGGGCAAAGGATATGAACAGACACTTCTCAAAAGAAGACATTTATGTAACCAACAGACATGAAAAATTGCTCATCATCACTGGTCATCAGAGAAATGCAAATGAAAACCACAATGAGATACCATCTTACGCTAGTTAGAATGGGGATCATTAAAATGTCAGGAAACAACAGATGCTGGAGAGGACGTGGAAAAACAAAAACGCTTTTACACTGTGGGTTGGAGTGTAAATTAGTTCAAACGCTGTGGAAGACAGTGTGGTAATTCCTCAAGTATCTACAACCAGAAATACCATTTGACCCAGCAATCCCATTACTGGGTATATATCCAAAGGATTATGAATCATGCTACTATAAAGACACATGCACACGTACGTTTATTGTGGCACTGTTCAGAATAGCAAAGTCTTGGAACCAACCCAAATGTCCATCAATGATAGACTGGATTAAGAAATTGTGACACATATACACCATGGAATACTACGCAGCCTTAAAAAAGGATGAGTTCATGTCATTTGCAGGGACATGGATGAAGCTGGAAACCATCATTCTCAGCAAACTATCACAAGGACAGAAAAACAAACACTGCATGTTTTCACTCATAGGTAGGAGTTAAACAATGAGAACACGTGGACACAGGACAGGGAACATCAAACGCTAGTGCCTGTTTGGGGGTGGGGGGCTATGAAAGGGATAGCATTAGGAGAACACTTAATGTAAATGTTGAGTTGATGGGTGCAGCAAACCAACATGAGTAATGTTTATACAGGCAAATGAACAGAGAATTATGTTGGCAATAGACGTGTGGTTGATTCATATTTGACTGATTCATATTCAACTGTACACAGTTGAATATAGTCATAAAAAATTATAATATATAGGCAGAATCTAAAAACACAATTAAATAATGTAAGGCAGCCTATCCTAACAAGGAAATACAAGAATATATAATATTAGAAAATAAAATTAAATAAACATTAGCCTGTGAAATACCGAATAAAGAAAGCATGCAACGGAAGAAGACTCTTTCTAGATAACTAGCATGTTCAACCATAACTGGGCTCCCATAAAGAGCAGATTTTGAATTCTTAGCATATGGTTAGAGTAACAAAATTGCACAACAAATACATTATAATCTCCCATAAAGAGCATTTAGAAGAAAATTTTAATAAAGATTTCAATGATATTAGAGACACTTTTTATTATGTTCTTAATATATTTCTCCTCTTTTTATACAAATGGAAAGGCTATAATTTATTTTTTTTTTAATTTTTTGAGATGGAGTCTCGCTTTGTCACCCAGGCTGGAGTGTAGTGGCGAGACCTCGGCTCACTGCAACCTCCACCTCCCTGGTTCACGCCATTCTCCTGCCTCAGCCTCCTGAGTAGCTGGGACTACAGGCGCCCACCATCACGCGCGTCTAATTTTTGTGCATTTTTAGTATAGACGGGGTTTCACCGTGTTAGCCAGGAAGGTCTTGATCTTCTGACCTCGTGATCCACCCGTCTCGGCCTCCCAAAGTGCTGGGATTACAGGCTTGAGTCACCGCTCCTCGCCGGCGATATTTTTTGTAGTTTTAGCAGAGACAGGATTTCACCATGTTGGCCAGGCTGGTCTTGAACTCCTGACCTCGTGATCCACCTATCTCAACCTTTTAATGTGCTGCGATTACAAGCATGAAACACAGCACTGGCCTATAATTTATTTTTTTTAAAGCAAAGAAAAGCCTTACATTTTTACATATGGGAACAACATGAATATTGTAAAATATGCTGTGGAAAACTACAATATAATAAGCAATTAGAAATAAATTATACTATCATTCAGATAAATGTTGAGGAAAGTAAATGGAAACACTAATGATAAGTTTTTCTATGCAGTGAACTTAGACACAAACTAAAACTTTTCTTAATGTGATGTGCATACTATCCAATTCACTTTTTACATAACACATAAATTCAAGTATGTTTTCTGAAACCCCTGAAGCTAAAGTTATAGGCTAATTTGACATACGTAAAAACAGGACAGGGAAAACGTACAGATCACAGTCCCACTAAGCTTTATATAAGATTAATTAATAAAATAACTCATTAAGAAATAATGTAACAGTTAAGAATTTGTTCTATTCCTGGCATGTTTCTAAGTTTTTCTATGGATTAAGGTCTTTAAAAATTCTTTGAGATGAGTAGATACAATCAACTATTCCACAGGTGACATGTTTGGCATAGAGAGTTCACATTTCTAAGTTAGTTTCTACTAAGGGAAAGAAAACTTTTTGACCTACATTACCAGAGATGAAAAAAAGAATAAAGTGAAATAGAAGATTCAACTTTATCATATGTGCTGAGGTGCTTTGGGCTCTGATAAATTTTTTTTCTGATTTTTTTGCAGGAACACATTTGAAATAATAGGACTGAAAATTATGAGGAAGAAACATTTGTCCTTGGTGTTTCTGAAATATGTGAACCAAACCCCAATGCCTGCACTTTTGCTCTCACAAACTTCTGACATGAGGCACAGATTTTTACAAGACAGCTTAACATAGAAGTCTCACAAAATGTGCAGATTTCCTCAGATCCCAAAAACAATGGAAAAGCACTCAGACCACAAGAGCTTCATGGGAATAGCAGAAAGAAGAGGCGAACTTTGGCTGTCACTGTGAATGCCCTGGAATGTTAGTGGATGAACAGAGAAGCCTTAGAAGATTTAAGAGCATAATAAGCATAGGGTAGGAAATTTCCACCTGTGGCAGCAAAAGAAGTAAATTTAGAATTTTCCAGAACCAATTTCTTTGAAGCAGAACTTCCAACACCACATTTTTAAGGTTTTCTCCTTGGCCTTTGCACCTCTCATCTTTGTTATTTGTTCATTCTTCCCTATTGGGGTGTTGCCTATTATTCTCTCTCTTTTTACATTCCAAAGATATTTCCTTTACTGTAGGACAGGGGCATCCACGGGAGACTACAGCCATGAGTTCTTAGTTTCTGTTTCTGGTTGAGCCAGTAAGGCGCTTTCCTCATCCCCCTTTTCCACTTATCACTAGACACAGAACCCAAAAACCATTGCTGCAGGCTGCTAAAAACCTAAAACAAAACAGAGCCATAACAAAAACAAAACAAGGCGGGTTGGAAAAGCTTGCTGTACGAGGCAACCAGGTCTGGCTTATATTCACCACATCCCTTCTTCTTTCCCAGAACAGCAATTGGGCTCAAGAGAAAACGTCCAACTTTTAGTATATCCCTCAGTGTAGAATGAGAACAGTGGAACATATGTTCAAAGGTTTGGCTTTGTGGGCTACCGCTGATGACTAGATTCTGTCTCCCCAAACAGGGAATGCTAAAGGAAATGGCAGAGTAATGAGAATGATAACTTATGACTGCTGAGAAGAGAAGTTACATGCTTACCACAGCCTCAGAGAAACAAACACTACAATCAACTGCGGAAGCAAAGGACCACAGTGTCTGGAAAACAATGGGAAAAAATATCTTTACCTTAAAAATACACACACGAGCCCAGAGAAGACACATTGAAGACACTGTTAATGAAGTACCAGGATGTACAGCCTCACTGATTGTTGTATTATCTTGTAGTAAGCAAGTTTGTACATACTACATTACACAGTTGTTTTATAAATTTCTGAATCTCATCAAAAGATTGCAGGGCATACAGAAAAGGACGAAAACATGTCCCAATTGAAGAAATAAAATAAACCTACAAATATTGATCTTTAAAAATCTTTGTTGACTTTTAAAGGTCAAAATTTGTAGGTTTATTCTTTGTTGTTGTTGTTTTTGCATTATATAATTTTGAAAATCAAAATAATTATCAAAGCTCCTTAATGATATGAACACTTCTCCAGTCCGCAGGGCTCCGGCAAGGGAGGAGCTTAGACACCATGCGGGACACCCGGGTGGACCCCCAACCCACGCCCGAGGCTCAGAGCAGGAGCAAGGACCTGGCTGCACCAGGCCGAAGCCGCCTCCACCCCCAGCGGTCGCGGACTCCAGGAGCTCCAGACCTGGGGTCGTGGTGAGATTCGTTGATTGACTGCGCGATGGTGGCTGAGTTGCAGCCAAATGGGTTTCATCACCTTAAATGGTTTTGAACCAATGAAGCTATATTCCCTTAAAGAGACGGACAGCCCATCGTGTGAACTATAGAGTTTGTGAACAAATTTATATTGGGTTCATAGTGGCATCATGCACACAGACTCCTGCGAGTTCCCCTAAGTTCTTAGAGGACTGCTTTACCTTTTGATATGAGAGTTGCAAAGTTCCCTAAAGAATGGTCCTTGTGGATAAGCGCTAAGTCAAGAGACAGCGATTGGACAGAATTTGTGAAGGAATTCGCCGCCAGATCACTAAAGACCCCCTAAGCCCCCGCTCACTGGCAGCGTTCCTGGTCGGCCGTGACTGCACTGTGGACATGCCCATCCTGAAGGACCTGGCCACCGTGGCCTTCTATGATGCAGTCCACGCAGGAAATCCAGGAGAAAGTTCTAAACAGAGCCGTGGGCCCCATGATGCACCACACAATCACCTCACCAGGGAGGTTCTGGCAAATTTCAAGTCCTTGAGAGTGATCGTGGGGGTGGGCAGTGGCTATGACAACGTGGACATCAAGGCTGCCAGAGAGCTTGGAATTGCTGTGTGAAACATCCTGTCCGCAGCCGTGGAAGGGACAGCCAATTCCACCAACTGCCACATTCTCAACATGTACCGGAGGAACACATGGCTGTGCCAGGCACTGTGGGAAGGCAAGCGGGTTCAGAACATGGAGCAGATCTGCGAGGTGGCCTCGGGAGTGGCCCGCATTCGTGGGAAGACCCTGGACCTCATCGGCTAGGGTCGCACGCAGCAGGCTTTTGCAGTTCTAGCCACAGCCTTTGGATTCAGCGTCATATTTTATTACCCCTACTTGCAGGATGGGATCGAGCAGTCCCTGGGCACGCAGAGGGTCTACACCCTGCAGGATTGGCTGTATCAGAGCGACTGCGTCTCCTTGCACTGCAGTCTCAACGAACATAAGCACCACCTCATCAATGACTTTACCATAAAGCAGATGAGGCAGGGAGCATTCCTTGTGAACGCAGCCCGTGGTGGCCTGGTGGACGAGAAAGCCTTAGCACAGGCCCTCAAGGAGGGCAGGATACGAGGTGCAATCCTCGACGTGAATGAGTCGCAGCCCTTTAGCTTTGCTCAGGGTCCGTTGAAAGATGGCCCCAATCTCATCTGCACTCCTCACACTGCCTGCTACAGCCAGCAGGTGTCACTGGAGATGAGGGAGACAGCTGCCACCGAGCTCCGCCGAGCCATCACAGGTCGCATCCCAGGAAGCTTAAGAAACTGTGTGAACGAGGAATTCTTTGTCACATCTGTGCTTTGGTGGGAAATAGACCAGCAAGAAATTCATCCAGGCATCTTGGGCGTGGGTCCAGGAGGACTTCCTGCATCCATGGAAGGGATCTTCCCTGGAGACATCCTGGTGACTCATAAACTCCCGACAGTGGCACATCCTTCCCAAGCGCCCTCTCCCAACCAGCCCTCAAACACGGGAACAATCGAGTGCACCCCAACGAGTAATAACAGAGAATGCCGGAAGGTAATCATTCAGATACACTTTTGAAGAAGAGACAGTGAAAAATAGACAAACTAAGAGAAAAAGAATCTGACGCTCTTTTTAGCTGATTCTGGACATATGCTCATTGGTTTTGCAGTGTTAAAACTGCAAGACCTAGAAAACTGAAGATGTCGTCTGCTTACGGAAGCTCTGAAAGACTAGGATGTGATTTATTAACTACCAACTTCCGTTATTATGTGTTTAGTTTTTCATCTGTGCGTCAAATCACAAAGAATAAATACAACTTTTTCCTTTTTCAGTCCCTTGGGCACAGCAGGTCAGGAACACCCTGCTCAGAATGTTGCATCAAGACTTCAAATATCAAAATAAAAACCATGAGGAGGAAATCCCCATCTTGTGACTTGAGTCCCTTCAGTCTACAGGGACTGGTTACAGCATTTTGCTAATAGGAAGATCACATTACTAGAAAATATGGAGTAAACTGTTTGCCTGTGGTAGACATCCTCACACATAGGATTGAAGACAGTACCGGCTCCTGTACAGAGAAGCGTCTCTCACATCTGAACTGCATACTGAGCGGGCAAGTTGGTTGTAAGTTCAGTAAAAGCCTCCGATAATGCAAAAAAAAAAAAAAAAAGTATTAAGTTTTACACGCTGTTTGTAATCAAGTATATTTTCTCAGTTTCAGATCCTCTGCTATTTTATTTAGTGGGAAGTCTTGCACTAAAAGTGTTCAAGAAAAATAATATTGCATTTTCTTATGTCACAGGAAACACTTTTAATGGTAACTTGTCAGATTGTCTATGAACAAACCCACTTTTTAAGACATTGATAAAGTCTTCTTTTCTTCACGTTGTGTTTTATACAAGAACACTTCAGCTGTATTGGATGTGACTGATTTTAACAAATTATATTAGATTTGCATCAATTAGTTACATGTTCTATTCATAGTCTTTTGTGAATATTGTCTTTTTGTTTAAAAAGATGTCCTGTTTTGGTCCTTTGATTAGGGACATTCCCGTTTTTGTAAGAAAAGAGAAATTTTTAAAATTGTCCCAAACAGAAAAATAATGGCTATCAGAAGTACGTTTTGTTTTAGTGTAGTGCGAATTACCGTTACTGTAGTTGTTTATTGTAAAGATGGACATTTAGCATTCAGTGCAGGTTTCAATAAAATGTGATTAGAAAAAACTGCTTAATGAACAAAAACAGAACATAAACAACAAAAGAATATTAGAAGAAGTGATACATAAAGAAAATGAGATATCAATAAAAAGATTTTTAAAAACCAACAATTGTGAATCTGAAGAACATAATAGCTATATTAAAAATTTAATCAACAGTCACAAAAGCAGACTAATAAAGGAGAAAAAATTACACAATTGATGACATTGTAGTTATAAATATTGAGTGATGAAAACAAATTTTTTAAGCAGAATGGAGGAAAAAGTATGGGACGCACTGCACATCGTCAAGTGGACCATTATATTTATGAAAGGAGTCTTACAAAAACAATATAGGAGAAAAGTAATAAAGAGGTTATTTTTAAAAAGTAGCTGAGAAATCCCCACATGACAAGATAATTAAACAAGAAGAAATACTTCCAAACAAAAACCTTCAACTGGAGTAATATCACTTCAGAAATAAAAAAACTAAACCTTTCCAAAATAAATAAAAGTTGATTGTGTTACTAACCACTAGAAGAGTCCTAAAGGAAGTGTAAAAGAGTCTATCACGTCCAAAAATGAAATGATGCTGCAGAGCATCATAACAGCACATGAAAATAGAAAGCTCTCTATTAAAGGTAAATATATAAACAGGTAAAGAAATCTCTACTGTCATAATCATGGTGCACAAAACTTTCAAAATATTGTCATGGAGTTTAAAACATGAAGCAAAAATCTTCATAAATTTGTGATCATAGACCATAAGGAAAGATAATATGCGATATTAATAAAACAGTGGGGGTGTGAAGAGGTACAACTTTGCATTCAGTTGAAATATTGTTGTTATATATTGTCATAACTTTAAGATGATTTATGAAGTCTTTATTTCTCAGGATGATTACCAAAAAAACCTGTAGAATGTATGCAAAGGCAAATGAGAAAGAAATTCAATCACGTCACTACAAAATCAACAAACAGAAATAAAGCAGTAAGAGAAAAAATGATAAATAACACATCTACAAGAAACACAGAAGACAATTACAAATAATAAAGTAACTTCATTAAATGCAGTAATTACTTCAAATATAAAAAGTTAAATACCTTAAAGAAAATTAATAAATAATTTAATGGATTAAGAACAAAGAAGATCCAGCAATTTGCTCTCTACAAGAGTCACTTCAGCTCTAAGGACTCAAATAAGTTGAAAGTAACAGTATAAAGAAAATATATTTTATGCAAAGAGTAGCTAAAATTGGAGGACCATGGTCATAATTATACTAAACAAAATATATTTTAAATAAAAAATATGAACAAGAGACAGATTGGTATTGTGTTTTTGTTTTTGTTTTTGGAGACAGAGTCTCATTCTGTCACCAGGCTGGAGTGCAGTGGCACGATCTCGGCTCACTGCAACCACAACCTCCCTGGTTCAATCGATTCTCCTGCTTCAGCTTCCCGAGTAGCTGGGACTACAGGCACACGCCGCCACCTCACCCAGCTAATTTTTATACTTTTTAGTAGAGATGGGGTTTCACCTTGTTGGCCAGGATGGTCTCGATCTCTGGACCTCATGATTCACCCGCCTCGGCCTCCCAAAGTGCTGAGACTACAGGCGTGAGCCACAGCGCCCGGCCGAGAGAGATTGGTATTATGTAATGGTGAGATGGATTAACTTTCCAGGAATCTATAACAATAATTTAGAAATCATATATACAACTTGAAAAATCTGCAAAAATATACCATTGAGATTTTGACAAAAATTACATTAAATTTTTGTATTACTATAAATAGCACTGACATCTTTCTTTCTTTTTTTTTTTTTAGAGACAGAGTTTCTTTCTCTCAGGCTGGAGGGCAGTGGCATGATCTCTCGATAGGCTCACTTCAACCTCCTCCTCCCAGGTTCAACTGATTCTCGTCTTTCAAATATGTAAAACAAATATTGACAGAAGTCAAGCAAGAAATACATAGCAACACAACAATGGTGGACTTCAAGACTCCACTTTCAGTAATGACTAGAATAGTCAGAAGTAATATCAGTAAGAAAGCCAAACCTGAACATTATAGACCCAACCAGCATTTACAGAACTCTCCAATTTAAAGGAGCAAAATCTACAATATTCTAAATCACACATGGTACATTCTGTTAGGGTACATGTCTTATTAAATTTAAGAAAACTGAAGCCATACAATGTAAATGAAACTAGAATTCAAAAGCAAGAAAATGTGGCCAATATGTAAATAAGAGGAAATTAAGCAAAATCTTTCATACTGTCTTGCTCAAGTGTCAGGTGATTTAATATTGTTAAGATGTCAGGGCCGGCATGAGGCTCATGCCTGTAATCCTAGGACTTTGGGAGGCCAAAGTGGGTGGATCACTTGAGATCAGAAGTTTGAGACTAGCCTAGTGAATATGGCAAAACCCTATCTCTACTAAAAATACAAAAGTTAGCTAGACGTGATGGTGCACGACTGCAATCCCAGCTACTCTGGTGGCTGAGACTGGAGAATTGCTTGAACCTGGGAAGTGGAGCCTGCAGTGAGCACATCTCGCACCCCTGCCCTTCAGCCTGAGTGACTCACTAAAACTCCATCTCCAAAAAAAAAAAAAAATGTTGTCAGTACTACTCATGATGATATAAAAATGTAAGGTAATTTTTGTCAAAATCCCAATGGTATTTTTTTTGCAGAATTTTTGTGTATAATTCTAAACGTTGCTTAGAAAAGGTGACTAGCCAAACACCCTTTAAAAAGAACAAAGAGGTATTACATTTTCTGATTCAAAATCATGATACAAAGCTACAAAAATAAAAACAATGTGGTATTGCCACAAAAACAGATACATAGATGACGAAACAGAATAGAGATCCCAGAAATAAACCCTTGCATATGTGATAAAATAATCTTCCATAAGCTTTCCATGACCACACAATAGAAAAATAAGAATCCATTTAACAAAGAATTTTCCAAATTGAATATTTACAGAGAAAAAAATAAAGTTGGATGCTTCCTTTGTATCATATATAAAAAGAAAAGTTTTTAAAATGAATTCAATACTTAAACATAAAACCTAATAAAATTCTTAGAAGTAAACATAAGGGAAAAGTTTATGACATAAGTCTTAAAACTCTTTCCTTAAGTTTGACATCAAATTCATAAGCAACAAGGAAAAGAACAACGACCAAAAAAAAGGACTACATTAAGCTTCAACTATTCTACACATCAAATAAAACATTTAGTGCCATACAAACGTCACCTAATAAGTGGGTGAAAGCTAGGCATGGTGTCTCATGCCTTTAATTCTACAACTTTAGGAGGCCAAGGCAGAACAATCACTTGAGGCCAAAAGTTTGAGACTAGCCATGAAAACATAGCAAGACCCTGTCTTGTATAGGGTTATATATATGCATACATACATACATATAACAAAAAAGAGTAAAAATATTTTCTAATCACATATTTGGTAGGTGTTAATTTTCAAAATATATAAATTCCTAAAACTCAACAACAAAAAAAGTTAATAACTTGATTTAGAATGGCACATGTTTGAAATGACTTTCTCCAAAGAAGACATAGAAATGACTAGGCATTTAAAAGGATACTCGAGAACTCTCTTCTAGAAAAATACAAAGAAAAGTCACAATAATCTATCACATCAAACTTATTTTTAAAATAGTATGAAAGCTCTTCAAAAAATTTAAAATGAGATTATTATACAATCCAGCAAACCCCATTCTGGCTATGTATTTAAAATATACAACACATGATCCGGAAGAGATATTTGCACACCCAAATTTATTGCAGCATTACTAACACAAGCCAAAAGACAGAAACAACCCAGCTGTCCCTTGACCAATGAAGAGATTAATAACAAGTGGCACATACACAAAGTCGAATATTATTCAGTCTTTAAAAAGTCACATTATATGATTATTCTTGAGAATATCACGTTAACTGAAATAAGCCAGGAACAAAGTGACAGTCTATGATTCCATTCATAATCAGGTATCTTAAGTAGACAAACTCATAGGAAAAAAAAAGTTAGAATGGTGTTAGTCAAGGACTGAAGAGATGGTAAAATGGGAAATTGTCTTAAAAGACATTTAATGTTAGTTTTGCAAGACATAGAAGTTCTACAGATCTTTTGCATAACTATGTGAATGTACTTAACGCTAATGAAATATACACTTAAAAAGAATTAAAATGGTAAATTTTACATTATGTGTTTTTACCACAATCGCAATTTTTAAAAGGAAAAATATGGACTTATAAAGCTTTCCAAAAATTAAATTTTGTTCACAAAAGATTTTCTCTCACACAAAGGAAGTATAGATTTATAATTAAACACATTGTGAAATTAAGATTATTTCAATGACTATTCATCCACACAAGATAAGACAACCACTGAAAATCAGCCAAAAAATATGGAAGATAAGCCATGAGCAAAGTTGGGGACATATTTATAGAGACAAACACATATATAATTTAATTTTGAAAACATATGACCGATTTATATTTTAATTAAACCCAACATTAGTTTCCTGAGTGAAATTTGGTTTTTAGTTTGGGCAAATGAAGACCTTTCTGTGGTTAAAAGGATTCTTTCTTCTCCGTTTCTTCATATGGACCTGTGCTGGGGATTGGTCAGCTGTTCAAGTGCAATGCACTCAGTTTTGGTTCTGTGCCAGGATTAAACCTACGATATTTCACATTTCATATATAAACCCCGATGAAGTGTTTCTAGGAGATGGCTGCCTCATAACCTATATTTTGCCAAATGTTTACTATGAATTTCACCACCATCCTCTTGAAGGTGGTATTGTAACTAAAACTCTTCAGGACATTCTACTTAAAACTAAAATCACGTATATCTCAAGACACTCCTTTCTGATTTGAAATGCCTCTGTCATGTATTGTCTGCAATCAGCATCCTCTTTCAAAGAAAGTGGAAAGGACAGATGAGGAAACTGATAGTGTTACTGCATGGGAGACAGAGGTGAGGATACACATGGCGGATGAAAACATGGAAGTTATTTCTACAGCACGATCTTGTAAGTGTCTGACTGCTATGCTCCCTTGTATATCAAATGATGTACCTTTATTGCAAGAGAAGATAGTGCGCTGTTTACCTTGACATTGAGAGGCAATTTTGAATCTCTGTCGTGATTGCTTAGGACTGAGGATTTAATGTGCTATTTTGTGGAAATCTTAGAAGCAGTAATGGGATTTAATGATCTTAACTATCATCCATCTGAAAAATCTAACGCGATTTTAAATAAAATGGCCGGCTGCTTCCACCGTTCCCTTTTTAAACCAGGAGCTGCCGTTGCTTTTAACATTATGAAGTTGAATCTATGAATAGTTTGTACTATTAACATTTTTTTAAAAATCCACATTGACTTGAAGTGTACAGGCAGAGGTGGAAATTATAACATCCAAAGTTATAATACATAAGTAAAACCCAAAATAAAATCAACTGCTGCCCTGGAACCTATTCTAAATAATCGAGACAGTAATATGGAATTGTAAAGAAAAATAAGAAACATATTTACTCATAAAATCTTGCAAGCAAAGTTTTTTTCTTTTTTTGAGACAGAGTCTCACTCTGTCACCCAAGCTGAAGTGCAGTGGCGAGACGACGGCTCATTTCAACCTCCGCCTCCTGAGTTCAAACCATTCTCCTGCCTCAGCCTTCACTGAGATTACAAGCACCTGCTACCAGACCAGGCTACCTTGCATATAAACTTGATATATCATTTATGAAAATACTTTTTAGATAACTAAAATATTCTACTGTGACTGTGCATTCATGAAGTTCGTGTATCTTGAATCATTGGCATGCAGTGTGTGACAGTAAAATTTCACAGAAAATACACTGTAACCATTAATAAAAGGCCCTAATAAGAGAATTTTAATGCATAAGAATTGAAAAGACACCATAAATAATTTCCGTTGTATTTTTAATACACTGATGCTATTCTTACACAAAGTAAAAAGGCTGGGTAAGTTGTGGTGGCTCACATCTGTAATTCCAGCAATTTGGGAGGCCGAGGTAGCAGATTGCTTAAGCACAAGAGTTCACAACATGCCTGGGCAGGATAGGGAGACCCTGTCTCTGCAAATAATAATAAACAGCCAAGTGTGTTAATACACATTTGTGGTCCCATCTGCTCAGGAGGCTGAGACAGGAGAATTGCCTGAGCCTGAGTGGTCAAGGCTAGAGTGAGCTGTGATTATGCATTGCATTCCAGCCCAGGTGACACAGTGAGACCCTGTTTAAAGAAAAAAACAAACAAAAACTAAAAATTAACCAGGAGTAGTGGCATGCACCTGTACTCCCAGCTACTTCAGAAGCTGAAGTTAGAAAATCATTTGAGCCTGAGAGTTTGAGTCTGCAGTGAGCCATAATTGAGCTACTGAACTCCAGTCTGTGTGACAGAGCAAGGCCTTGTCATAGATAGATAGATGATAGATGATAGATAGATAGATAGATAGATGGAATACACCTGGAGAAAGAGTAAATTTTAATGTAGTGTGATGTAATTTTTAAAATAAACTTTATGTGTATCACTTAGAAATTTATAGAACAGGCCGGGGGCGGTGGCTCACGCCTCTAATCCCAGCACTCTGAGAAGACGAAGTGGGCAGATCAGGGGGCCGGATATCGAGACCAAGACCATCCTGGCTACCACGGTGAAACCCTGTCTCTACTAAAAATACAAAAAATTAGTCGGGTGTGGTGGCGGGCAACTCTAGTCCCAGCTACTCGGGAGGCTGAGGCAGGAGAATGGCGTGAAACCGGGAGGCAGAGCTTGCAGTGAGCCGAGATCGCGCCGCTGCACTCCAGCCTGGGCAACAGAGCGAGAGTCTGTCTCGAAAAAAAAAAAAGAAATTTATACAACTTAGCCAGAAGAATAAAAAACAACCTCTTAACAGTTTTTTCAAATAAAAAAAGTGAGTTTGAAGAGAAGGGAATAAAGGGGACTTTCATTTTAATGTGTTTTTATTTTTTGAGTCAGGGTCTCACTTTGTTGCCCACATGGAAGCGCAGTGGTGTGATTTCAGCTCACTGCAAACTTGGCCTCCCAGGCTCAAACAATCCTCCCACCTCAGCCTCCCTAGTAGCTGGGAATACAGGTGTACATCACCACAACTGGTTAATTTTTGTATTTTTGTAGAGAGAGGGTTTTACCATGTTGCTCACACTGGTCTTGAGCTTCTGGGCTCAAACAATTCACCTGCCTTGGGCTCCCAAAGTGCTGGGATTGAGCCACTAGGCCAACCAAGTTTTTTGTTTTGTTTTGTTTTTGAGATGAAGTCTCACTGTGTTGCCCAGGCTAGAGTGCAATGGCACGATCTTGGCTCACTGCACCATTTGCCTCCTGGGTTCAAGTGATTCTCCTGCCTCAGCCTAGTGGGTAGCTGGGATTATAGGCACCCGCCACCGAGACCAGCTAATTTTTGTATTTTTTAGCAGAGATGGGGTTCCACCATGTCAGCTAGGCTGGCCTCAAATTACTGACCTCATGATCCACCCACCTCGGCCTCACAAAGTGCTGAGATTGCAGGCATGAGTCACTGCTCCCAGAGACCAGCCAAGACTTTTACTTTATAAAGATATTTATGATGTTTTCTTTTCTTTTTACAGTATGTATTGCATTTATAATTGGAGATACAAAAAAAGGTGACTGTTACTGTTTGACAGCAAGGCAGTAGTATTATCTTCATCAATATTTGCAACTTCATTCACAGGAACCTGTAAGAGAAAGCCCAGACAAAACTTTAAGGCAAAGAAGTTACACTTGTAAAAAATGAGAGGACTATTTTTTTATAATAACAAATATTCCAGGTGAGGACTGGTCAGGATCTACCACTGCTCCATCTCACTTGATAAGTCTCATGCCTGCCAGGGTAAGAAGGAGCAGAGAGAAGGACAAATGCCACTGAGTTTCCTCTCCCACTAAGGATCTGTTTGTCAAGTTTCCTACCATCAAGTGGAAGATGTACTAAAAATAAAATGTACCCTTGCAGATGCTAGCAGAGAGGCACAAAATAGAAAAGGAGGTAAGCCCACACATTGTGGAGAAAGAGATCCAACTTAAGATTCAAAATGCACCAGAAAGCTGTGTAAAGTTAATAAAATTACTCAAAATCTTGGAACATTTGTTTCCTCACCTGTAAAATGGGGATCATGTGCCTACTTCATAAGTTGTTTTGACAGTTAAATTCACAGAGATATTTAATAGAGCCTGCTATGGCAAGTGTTCACATTAACAAAGTAGTATCAAACTTCAAAATATGGGAAAGGTATTTTGAATAATGTCTATGAGGCCAAGGACAACATGCCCAGCTTCATAATCAATCCCAGCCACATTACACTGAGGAGATCTACAGGGCAACTATATTTCTTCAACAAATTCCATTAGAGAGGAAGAGTGTGTAGTCTGAAAACATGACACAAATGTGACCAGTGTACAGTGACTTAGGTAGTCGGGGGTGGAGTCCCTACATATTCTCTGAATTGCAGTTACACAGTGAGTTCCCAGGAAACAAATGGAATAGAAAAGGTGACACAAAATATACTACCATAAATGGCGTGAGCATAGCAGGTTCACAACCACAAATGTAAGCAGGAGACTCAAATCACAAGGAGCACCTAGATCTGTGAACAGCAGCTTGTGGTGGCATCAGGTTCAACTTTCTGAGACCACCGGTGTGGGCAGTGTCTTTGCAGGCACATACTCGACAGCAGTGTATCTGAAGACAGATCTCAAGGCTCTTCTCTTCATTAATTATTAAGATGATAGATGATGGATACCCTCACGTTACAACATCCCCACTAACGCTGTGGACAAGTGAATTCAGAAACCCCCACCTAAATACACAGTGAAGAGTAGGATGAGAATACTGCAGGATAGGTTAGGAATGCAGGCATTCGACCCCATAGAGTCTATTTAAAATAAGAGAAGGGTCCTAGTATTGTGCTGTGGTCCTCCTATATATAGTTCTTTATTTTTCCAATTTCATAAAGGCCATACAGTTTTTCTTCCTTTCTTCACAAATGTGCTGATGAACCCATGAGTAATTCATCCTGAAGGGGTTAATTCCTCATAAAGTACAGTAACGTGATTCAATTGCTATGATGAGGTTTTTCAGGATTTTTTTATAGTGTCCCATACTCACCGATCACAAGTGAAATTTATAAGAACATGTAATTTGAACAAAGTATTCTTTTCACATAGAGAAATACACAGGTTTGTACAGATTAGATGCATCATCAAAGTTGGTAACATCTGGGAACAAAAGGAACTATCCTGAGGACATAAGGAACTTAGGAACGTCGATTATTAAGAGGCTACCTGCAAGTGGAACTTCTGGGTTTTCATTGTCTAGACAGAAAAATTTAACTGATAAGCCCCAGTATATTAAGGTACATCCCCAACGGCTGTGGGGGATCAACTTTCCATCCAAAGCAGAGATGTAAAACACGAATGACTTCAAATGCGGCTCAAGTGCTCTGCACCTTGAAAGTCATCCCCACAAAGCTGGAGCACCACCTGTTCCTGAGGGATGAGGTCACCAACTGCTTTTTTGAGACACTCGTCAGTCAGGACTCAGTTGAGATGAGGCTGGTGATTTCAACTGTAAAATATCTAAACCATCATCTTTAGGTAGATTCTTATGCCTGGGAATTGTGGTTTTCTCCTCTGCTGTTAGCAGATCCTGAGTAACCCAAGAAATACCCGCTCTCACCCGTCAAGTTCTATATCACAAGAAAGGCGCTGCAGACGGTGACATTTTCACGAAGGAGCCACAGCCCGCATCACCCCCTGAAAGCTCTGAAGTTGCGCACGGGTGGGTCACGCAGCAGGTGGATGTCTCAGTTCCCATAGAGTTTAGCAGAGCAGGCGGCTCCCTGGGCTGGAAGAGGTGCGATGCTCTGGAAACCCCCCGCGGGTGTGTATGTGAGAGGACACCGAGATGTTCAGCGGGCTGTTCAGTGAGGACCAGACCCCTCCGATTTGAGCAAGGGAGGTGCACTTCGCAGGGTCACACCGTCCTCATCGCCCAGCCTAGACCTGCCCCTCAAGTCCTTCTGCGGACTCCCTTGGCGAGGGGGTGGCACAGAATCAGCATGTGGCATCGCTTAGGAAAGGACGAGGTCCACACCGCCCTGTCCCTCCCTCCAGGGCTGCGCACCACGGGGGAGGACAGACAGCGCATGCTGGTTTTGTAGTTAGCAGGTCGGCGACCAATGGGCTGGAAACCGTTAAGACACCAAAACTCCCAGCACTCCTAGCTAGGGACGCGCCTCCCTATCCTTCGCTTCCATACTACACACCGCCCCCAAACCCAGCGCATGCTGAGATTGTAGTCCGTTAGCCTCGCGACCAATGGGCTGGAAATACTGAAAGGACTATGACTCCCAGGATGCCTTGCGAGGTACCCGCCGTCCCGATCCTTCCTCTAGGGCTGCGCACCGCCCCCAAGCCCAACGCATGCTGGGATTGTAGTCAGGTAATCCTGGGACCAACTGACTGGAAACTGTTAAGAGACCATAACTCCCAGCACGCCTGGCTAAGGACGCACCTCCCTATCCTTCCCTTCAGTGCTACACACCGCCTCGAAGCCCGGTGGCTGCTGGGATTTTAGTCTGCAGGCCGGGGGCCATCGCTGGAAACCATTAAGAGACCATAACTCCCAGCATCCCTGGCCAGGGACGCGCCTCTCTATCCTTCCCTCCAGCGTTACACACCGCCCCAATCCCGGTGCATGCTGGCATTGTAGTTCGGTAGCCTTGCGATCAACGTGCTGGAAACCGTTTAAGGACTATGACTCCCAGGACGCCTTGCGAGGGACCCACCCTGTTGACCCTTCCTCCAGGGCTGGGAACCTCCCTTAAGCCCAGCGCATGCTGGGATCATAGTCCGACTGCCGCGACAGAAAGGCTGTGAGTGGATCTGAGACTACAGTTCCAACACTACGGGGAAAATTTCATCTTCTCTGAGACTACAGTTCCAACACTGAGGGGATAATTTCATCTTCTCCTCCGCCCCTCCATGTTTCCAGTGCAATTCCGCCCTGCTGAGGGGAGCCTATCTGTTCCCAAACTTCTGCGTGCGAGGAGACAGCGTGGCCAGGGCAGGTGGTCTCACTTGTAATTGTGACACAGTCTCCCCACGTGCCACTTGTACGACTATTTGTCCCTGAAGTTTGATTTCTCTCTGACAAGACAGAGCCCGGGAGCCTCCAACAGCCTGCCCAGCGTTGCCGTAAAGCTTGCTCTCGGGGAGCTGGGCGCGCCCAGACCTTTGCAGGGCCCCTCCCTCAGCCCCGACCCTTCTCCTCGCCCCTCCCCTGCCACGCCCCTTTCGACATGCTGGAAAGTCATCTACCTTTAATAACAGTCATCTTTGCAAAAAAAAAAAAAAAAAAAAAAAACTCTGAGAATAACCTATCTCCCATTCTATTTAGTATTTATTTCCATAGTATCCATAAATAGTAGCAATTAGATATCATAGCAAGTCAAGCAAAAGCCCTGCCTTGCCTGTTTCATAAACCACGATATGGCCTTGCTGTGGTTTTATTTGTATTTTGTTTTGTATTTATTGACCTTTTGGATATAAATATTTAGGTATTTGGACAGTTTTTGGAAGTATTCCGCTATTAGTTGTTGATTTACTTTTGTTCCCTATTTAATATTTTTTGTCTCTCCCTTCTCCTTAGACTCAGTCATTCCACAGGTCTCGAGAGCTCTGTTCATTTCCTTTAAACTTTTTGTACTTTTTTTTTTCCAGACTGGATAATTTCTATTGCTGTGTCTTCTGTTTTAAATCTATGGCTAAACTCAAAAGATTTTTTTCATTTCCTTATCTATAATTTTTTTATATATATGTTCATTTCTCTGCTGAAGTTCCACATCTGTTTGTTTATGAATAGAATATTTTCTTTTTTCCCCATGAACATATTCATAAAAACTGCCTTCAAATTCTTGTCTGCTGATTGCAACATCCTGGGATAGCTTCTACTGCCTGCTTTTGATATTGTGTATGGATGACATTTTCACGTTTCTTTACAAGTCTTATGAATTTTAAAATTGTGCACTAGAAACTATAAATGATAATTATAGAATAGAAACTCTGGATTTTGTTGTTTTACCTTGAAGACTTTTGTTTTATAAACAGGGTTCATTGGGCTAGTGTCAAACCAATGCTTGTGTCCGCTACAGTGGGTATAGCTGAAATCTTCATTCAGTTGTTAAACACACATATCATATATGTATTATGCATAGGCGTTTTTCTATAATAATATATTTTATTCAAGTTTCATCATTGTTATTTGTGAGAGTTCAACAAGCTAGTCCACACTTAGTGGAAGTCAGAACCTCAGTTTTATTTGATTGTAGCATTTTATATAAACAAAATTATATAGTATGTATACTTGTACATCTGTTTTCTTTATTTCCTTTTCTGTTTTCTTTCTTTCTTTCCTTTTCTGTCTTCTTTCTTTCTCTCTTTCTTTCCTTCTTTCTTTCTCTCTTCTTTTTTCTTTCTTTCTTTTCCCCAGGTTGGTGTGCAGTGGCATGATCTCACTGCAACCTCTGCCTACCAGGCTTAAGATATCCTTCCACTTCAGCCTTTTGAGTCACTGGGACCGCAGCCTTGCACCACCATGCCCGGCTAATTGTTTTGTATTTTTGGTAGAGACAGGGTTTCACCATGTTGCCCAAACTGGCATGTCTGCTTTCTTTTATGCAACATTACATTTGTGATATTCACCCACCAGTTGCAAATAGCTATAGTCTGTTCATTTTAGAAAGTAGTTTTTACCTTTTAGTAAAATATAAAAATACATGAAATTAACCATTTTATTATTTTTTTTGTGTGCAGTTTAAAGAAATTAAATACATTCAGATTGTTTTGCAACCATTGTCCAAGTTCATAAGGAACTGTTTTTCAATCTTTTAAAAGTGAAACTCTGTACCCAGTAAACAACACTCCCCTTCCATTGCCCTTTGTGTAGTCCCTGGAAACTACTCTTCTACTTCGTGTTTCTATGAACTTAACTGCTGTAAATATCTCATATGAGTGGAAAGAGACAATATAACAAAAAAATCATGAGGAAGAATAATATATACTATATAACATATGTTTATCCATTTTAAGAAAAATGCTAGCAGAGATCAGGTCATGGTGATTATAGAGAAAGGTAGGTAACAGTGAAAAGGGGATTGGTTGCATTAAATTTACGACGTGATGCCTCAAGTGCCAGAGCAGTGAGCTTTCTGCCCCACTCGCAGGGCTGGTCAATGGTGTGGCTGGAACCCTACTCGAGCTGCCTGACTGCCAGAGCCCATGCTTAGTACAAACTTCAATGAGCCATGAAAGCAATTCCAACAACAGGCACTTAATGGCTCTGAGATTTTATCACAGCCTGTTCTTCATGGCTAGCAACTTCAGAGAAGAGTGACAGCTGTGAGGTTCCAGAAGCCACACCTCAGGTCCCCCAGTTCCTCCCCAGCAGCTGGAGTCCAGGTGCAACAGGACCTGATGCTGGCCAGGGAACCCTGGCCACAGGCTGTGTGAGGCTGGCGGCAAGACAGTCTCCCCTCCTACCCTCTGCTCATCTGCTAGGTCTTTGCCTTTTATTCTGATTGTGCTGCTCCAGGCTTGGAACCAAGCCCGAAATTCCTCTTGAGTCTGAAGATGATGATGGTTTCCAGCTGTGTGGAACTGCTGCATCTCCTGGAGGACTTTAATCTTCTGGAGACAGAGGGAAAGACAGGATGCTGACAGGGCCTGGGTGAAAGACTCTGTAGGGGCCTTATAAAAGAAGGGAGGAGGGCTGGTCTCTGAGGTGTTTCTTTTAAGGGGCTCTCACCTCCCCTCCAATATCATGCAGCCCTAACTGGTTCTCAGAGTTGAATGTAAACGGCTCTTCCTCTAGGAAGTTGTCATCAACTTCACTCCCCTGATTGCACCCTGCATTAGGATAGGTCTCCTCCTTCTCTGTGTATTACTCCCTTTCAATAAATCTTAGATGCGGAAGAAGGGACCAGGGAATGTCCTGCCCAGGGTGATTTCTCATTTCCACCTCCACCCTCCCTAAAAGTGAGGACTTCAGCTACTGCTCACCTTTCTGTTTTTCTGGGTTTTGATCACATTTCTCTGGAAGACAGAAAGCCAAAGACCATCAGAAAGGTCCGCTGGTCCATAACTAGCCTCCATTTCCAGCGATTTCCAAGCTTCACCACCACCAGAGCCACCAGGGTCAGGGAATGTGCACAAAAGAGGTCTTGCAGCTCTGCAGCTTCACTACTCAGGGAGTGGGACTGATGGCTGCTGTGGAGCCTCCATCACTCATGAGTAAAATACCCTGTTTACGGGATGGGGAGGGCTGCGAGGCCCTCGCAAAAAATTTTGGCAAGGACTGAGATCTAGGAGCTCAGTTCAAGACTCTCTTCTCCCAGGCCTCAGGATCCTGGTCCCTGACCTGTCTTCTCCAGGCTCACTCACATCCACACACTCCTTCATGGCAATGTCCAGCATCACCACATCAGTGAGGAATGTCCCCAGAGAGGGCATGACTTGGGAGGTGCCCACCCAAGTCCTGTCCGCTGAACTCTTATAAACCCCTGCCTCCTGGCGCCCTCTACCTAGGTTACCCACTTGGAGTAGCTGAGAACCCTCAGCTGCCTTTTCCCAATTCTCTATGTCTTCCCATTAGCTGGCCTCTATTGCCACCAACCTCACCATAATTACCTCCTTGGTGGGATTTTAACAAGCCACAAGGTCATGTGGTCCCTGGCTCCACCTGTTTTAAAAGCCACACGGAGCCCAGCTCTCCCAGGCCTTGCTCTGGTCTGTCTAATGAAGGTGTTTTAGGCACTGCAGCCCCAGGAGAAAAGGGCTGGAGTAGAAAGGCCCTCTGCTTTTTTGATTTGGAGGTTTCCAGCTGGGAGAAGTAAGCTCTGTTCTCTGAAACCCTGGAGCCCTTCCCCATCACAGACACATTCACCTTCTGCTGTCACAGCCTCATCTAAGCTCTCTGAGGCTCCGCTACAGGGTAGACAACTTGTACGGTGTTCACCTGCTAGGATGAGGGACAAGGTCAGTGAAAATATGCTTCTTTCAGTTACGCCTCAGCCACACTAACCTTGGACACGGATAAGTGGCCTGAGTCAGCTTGTCCAATGCTCTGACCATCTCCAGTAAGCTCTGACTCTAGACTCACTCCCAGGTCCAACACTCCCTGGATGTGTCATTTTGGGCATGCAGTCGGGTTTCCCTGAGCTGTTTCCTCAACTGGAAAGTGTGGTGGGAACCAACCACCTCACAAGGCCTCTTACCACCTCGGTTTCATGTGGTTGTCATGATTGCTGTCACCATCTTCCCTCTCAGGATGAGCCAGACACAAGCACCCTCAGATTCTCTGTCTCCCTGAGCCCCATCACCACCTTGTGAGGCCTGCCCAACAGGCTCATCATTCCTACATTTTCCACATAAGAAAACAGAGGCCCAAAGCGGCAATGACATGCCAAGGACCCCACAAGAGAGGCCAGCTCCTCCCTCAACCTAGAGGGACTGTCCCGGCTGCCTTCACCTAACACCCTAGCATCATCACTGACCAGCATTCCATCTTCTAAACTCTATGAGTGACAATATTCCCAGCCAGGCCCTGTGGCAGTGGACATGGTTCTGAGAATTGGGAATCTAATGTGGAGGAAAAGTTAAATATTTAATATGAACTCAATTGAACATGGGCACAAACAATGGTCACGAAGTCCTGGAACAGGTTGCATGAACCCCTTGAGGTGTTCATCCAGCGCTGTTTCAGAGAAATCTTTCAATCCATTCCTATACATTAGTTATTGAAAAAACAACAGACAATTGCAAAAACAAGTTGATTTTTTGTGTTCCTTGAGCCCAGTTGTGAAGGGCACCTGTGACTGCGCCTCATGCCAAACAACACATTACAAAAAGAGCTAGGGTCCCAGACTGTGCTGAAGTTTCATGAGACCTCTCCTCATCTGTGCATGGACACGTGGCTGACTCTGGAGCCCAGGCTGTTGCTTCCCAGTCTGGTAATGAATCCTCCATAGTCTGGTGCGTGTAAATATACATATACATATATGTATATTTATATACATGTATATGTATATAAATATACATATATATATTTTCTTTCTGTCCTTCCCATTGCAATTTGCTTATTATATTATTTGCTTATCAAGTCTGTATTGCCATACACTTGGGATAAAGGCTATTTATCCTTAAAACTATTGTGGGTGCCTTTTCTTTTCCCCTCGTTCATTTCCCGCACCGGAGCCCAGGTGATGGAATCTCGAAGTGACCTCACTTCCTTAGTTACAAACTCAAAGAAAGTTTAGAACTCTGGTAACCTGGAGCCCTAATTCTAGAGACAGCTTTGTATTTACTAAGGAGACTCTGAAGACAGCAAGATGTTCTCCTGCTATGTCTTGAATTTCTGAGGCTCTCATCTCAGGAAGGCTTGAACAGAGAGACTTTTTTTTATGATGGAGACAGTGCTCATTCTGCACTGCTGGCTCTTCTGGCCATTTGGAAAGGGTTACCCATAGATAACACAAGGCCACCCATGGCAGGCCTATCCAGGCCAGGCCTCACCTTTGATATCATCTCGGCAGGCACACACCCCTCCTCATCTCCACGTCTCGTGGGAAAGAAAGAGATAATGGGTCCTTTCTTGACAGGAGCAGGTTTCCAGGTATTGGGAGGCTAAAAGCCTGTCAAATTTATACCGCAGGTTACAGTTGGCAGGAGGGGAAGGTGAGTGCTGGGGGTCACCTTTGTTTGTTCAGACATTTATTCTAAGGCTTCAAGCTGTCCTCTTGTTTTCTCCCTGGCTGGAGGTCTGCGCAAATGCTCCTATGTGCCTGATCTGGGGAGTAGACTTTCTAACTGGAATTTCCCCTGTGGGGAAAGCCAGGATGCCATTGATGCCTCTTGGCCAGGCTTCCAGGCACTCTCTTTGCAGAACTCTATTGAGGAGATCCCTGAGGAGCTGTTTGATGAGTCCAACTACTCCATCTCATTGAACAAAAGGCAGGTGCATCATGCCAACAACCATGGCCCGTGCTAGTCTGGAGTCAAGGTGGGCACAGAGAGGTCTCCAAATGGAAAAGACCAGGGAAGCCCAGGACCCTGACCCAAATGTGAGGATTCCCCAGAAACCGTTTTAGGGCTTTCTCCATTAAGGACCCACAGTTCCTTCCCAGAGGAATTTGGCCTCCATTAGTCCATAATGGCAACTTAGGTGCACAGTCCCCGGTCATATGCTTGCAGGAATGTCAAAAGAAACACTTTTGTGTTGTTATTACTTTACATTAAGTTGTGAGTATCTTTGCATTTTGCTATTATTTTTATTGTTATATCTACCTACCCCACATACTTCCTGGAGCAGGCAGCTTCGCTGCCTTGCCAGACCTTCTCTAAGTCTTAGAAGTTCACACTGTTACTAGAGAGAGGTTTCACCCAAAAAGTGGGAGTTATGCAAAAGGGTCTTATATGACTCTTTACATATGTGTCCCAGAGCCCACCTCTATAGCCCCATCAGGACAGGAGCTGTGTCCTCATATGTCTTTATAAGATTCCATAAGTGGGGCCTTTCCCTCAGTAATTTAGGCTTTTAATACTGGTGGAGCCTGACACAATAAATTCTATTTCCACTTCAGCCATGCTACAGGGAATATCTTTTTTTTTTTTTTTTTTTTTTTTTGAGACGGAGTCTCGCTCTGTCGCCCAGGTGGGAGTGCAGTGGTGCAGTCTCGGCTCACTGCACTCTGCCTCCTGGGTTCACGCCATCTTCCTGCTTCAGCCTCCTGAGTAGCTGGGACTACAGGCGCCTGTCACCACGCCCGGCTAATTTTTTTTCTCTGTGTGTGTGTGGTTTTTTTTTTAGTAGAGACAGAGTTTCACCGTGTTAGCTAGGATGGTCTCGATCTCCTGACCTCGTGATCCACTCGCCTCGGCCTCCCAAAGTGCTAGGATTACAGGTGTAAGCCACCGCGCCCAGCCGCTACAGGGAACATCTTATCTGTGTCCTAATAGGCTGTAACGCTTTGCTATGACTTCCCTAATACAGTACCACAGGCTGAAGTTCTTTAACAACAAAAACTGAATGTCGCACAATTCTGGAAGTTAGAAATCCAACCTCAAGCTACTGGCTGTGTGGTTTCTCTGAGGTCTCCATCCTTGGCTTGTAGATCGTCATCTACTATATCTGTGTTCACAAGATCTTCTCTTGTGCTTTTCTGTCCTTCCTGCCTCTTCTAATAAGGGCTCCAGTCATCTGGAATTAGGATACACCCCAATTAATTCACTTAAACCTAACTACATTTGCAGAGGCTATATGTTCAAATATAGTCATGTTCTGAGGCACTAGGTGTTAGGACATGAACATATAATTTTTAGGAAGGGAATGCAATCTAGCTCACAACATTTACTAATCCCTTGTAGATTATAGTCTCCCAGGAAAATGATTACTCAGTGAAACAGTAGGAAAGTGTAAAGGTTTAATAGGAGAAGCCGGAATATATTCCAAAAGGGTTGTGAAAGCCGTACTGTAAATAGTAGTTTCTGAATTTATCTGCTTTTATGTATCCAGAACCTCTTGGTTGTCAACATTCTTTTAATTTTTTTGTCAATCTGCTATCTATGTGGCAAAAAAACATGTTTCTATTTCAATTTTTCAACTGATATATTTGAGTTACCTTTCAGTTGATTTATACTTATTTGAGTTTTCTGTTCCCTCAGTTAATCCGCTCAATTCCTTGGCCCTGTGAGGGGTTTCTCTCACCTTGGAGTCCCCAAGCACTGACACCTTTGTCAGGTGTGGGGTTGCTGTAGTTATTTCTCAACACTCCCTTTAAGGTTTTAAAAGACCCAGTTCAGTTGCTTTAAGTCAAAAGGGTTGTCTTAGGGTATCTTATCCTGTGCCCTGTCTCTAAAACAGAAAGAAAGTGAGCCTTCCCCATGCCCTTCCCCCTAAGTCAGGGACAGACATAGAGCCTCAGGTAGCTTAAAGGGAATTTCATGCAACCCCCACCGTGGAAGATTCTCTTTCTTACTTGTGTTTTTCTGAGCAGCCATTTGACATCACAAAGCTTTATTTTCTCATTTGTAGGCTGAGTATGTTTTTTTGGGAATTCTCTGGGATAATGCTCTTCATAAAGATTATTAATACAAGTGGGTGCTGTTGTCTTACAGCTGATATGATATCGTGAAGGCCTTGAATGTATTCATGGATTAATTATTCTCTACCTCCACATTAAATTTGATATCAGAGGCCTAAAACCTTTTTCACCATAAACACCCATGTCCTCCACATGCCCAAGTCTCTGAAGGATGGAGATTTCCTCATCCAAGCTCCACATTCCAAGCCTCTGGTGTTTCATGGTCTTGCCATGAAAAGTCTTGTCCCCTCCCCAAGAGGAAATGAGTCTATTCTTAACCTAGAGGTGTGAATGATGCCAATGCGCCAAACCAGGCACAACGGAGAAGCTGACGAAGTCCCTGACAGCAGCCTTCCAGGGTCAAACTCTCTTCTTTTTATCATTTTTCTCAAGTTTTACCAGGACTTCCTCACCACTCTGTAGTTCCTGGACCAGCTGTCTAGTAGTTGAGCATATGTCTTCTCCAAGGCACAGTGGTGACTCTGCCAGCTACTAACTGTGTCTTAGCATACCAGTGCATCTTTATCAGCCTCAATTTGCATCTTTATAGAGAATTGTAAAATGAACCTCTGTTCTGTACGAGAGACATGCAAGGGGAGAAGAAAACACACCCAAAAAAACCTTTAAGGGTAAACAAGCTTTATCTGACGTAAATGGCAGTGCAGCTATAATAAGCAAATTGCAATGGGAAGGGGAGAAGGGAAACATATATACATATTTACGCCCACCAGACTGCGGAGGATTCATTACCAGACCGGGAAGCAACAGCCTCGACTCCAGAGTAGGTCACCCATCCCTGCACAGACAAGAAGAGGTCTTAGGAAGTTTCAGCGTGGCCTAGAGCCCTAGTTCTTTTTGTAATGAGTTGTTTGGCATGAGGCCCAGTCACGAGGGCTCTTCACAACTGGGCTCAAGGAACTTGAAAAGGTTATCTTGTTTTTGCAGTTGTCTGTGGTTTTTCAATAACTAACACATAGGAATAGATTGAAATAGATATTTCTCCAAAACAGTGCCAGATGAATGCTTCAAGCGGCTCATGCAACCTGTCTGAGACTTAATGACCATTGCTTTTGTCCATGTTCAATTGAATTCAAATTTAATATTTAACTTTCCCCCACAACCTTATATGTTTTTTGTGAGAAATGAATGGCATACAATATGAAAAGCGGTTTCCTAATGCTCGGCTTTGTGGAAAGCCTGCTGGGGCATGCTCTGATTGTTCGTATTTATTACTTTTTTCTCTTCTTTCACCCCAGAAGGTCTTTCATGTCACAGTGACTCATGTCCCTCTATAATTGGACAATCATATAGAAAACAAACATGTTCTTACATTTGTAAAGGGCACTTGAGCTTCCTGTTAGCTGGACTTTGTCCTTGAAACAGAGAGATCCTGTAGGAAAGAGTCCCCAGGCACACTCAGACATAGCTAAAAAGGTTGTAGTTAGGGCTTATTTATTCATCACATATATATAACGCAGTTTTCCAGACACTTGGCCTAATTCAGTGAAGACAACAGATGACAGTTCCTGGGCCACAATTTACTTCAGGGAGTCAGACACTCAGAGTGGACATTATAAGCAGGTCATGATCACAGAATGTGAGAACTGATGTTCTCATGCTCTCCTCTAGGAATGGATGCACCTGTCAGCTTCTGATCAGAACGACAGACCCAGGATCAAGCATAACATTTAAATAGACGAATAAAACTTTTTTCCAAAAAGGAACATCGCTTTATGATAAAAACTCTCAACAAATTAGGTGTAAAGTAAATTCACTTCAAAGCATTAAAGGCCATGTATTACAAATGAATAGCTGGGCGGGCAGATCTGCCATAAGGCAAGGGCATCCGCTTCCCTAGATACATATCCAGGGGCACAGAGAATGAGCAGTTCCAGGGTTGTGTCTCACATGGGGTCCTCTCCAGGTCGGTTTCAAGAGGACAGGACTGGGGTTCTGTATCCACTTCTGTGGAGAGCTGGAAGTAAAATGAGCTATGCTCCACCTCAGCCTAATGTAGACAATGGCTACAGAGAAGACTGTTTTCTTCCTCATAAATAGGGGTGCTCGAAGTGGGTAACCTTGATTGTTTCACATACTCATAAGTGTCTGCCAGCCTTGATTCTTCATTGGTGAACTAAGACTCTTTGCTCTGAAACTCTGCAGAAATGCTTCTACTCCCTGGAGGCCCTTCAAATCAGAGAGAGGCATGGCCACTCCAGAGGCATTTTGGGTAGATAAAGATGGGATAGAGCTAAACGTGTCAGAACACTGGACCCTGAGTCTGAAGTCATGGGAAAATGCCAGTTCCTGTTGGGTTTTTGAGCTCCTCATTTGAAAGTCGTATTAAATAATTTCCCTGGATAAGGGGAGGGTGCCTCATGAGTAAATGGCACACTCCAAATGGTGGAGGCAAAGAGAGGGCAATGGAGGATTCCAAGGTCACTCAGTGTACTTGGAGCCTTCAGATTCTGCTCCTTTGTCCTCTGGAACTCCAAAGAGTCAGTGTCTTGAGGACACAAAACAATGGTACCTGATTTGTTCCATAATGTTCCTGCATGGGGCTGCAGTGTTAGTGATGGCCTGGAGGTGGTTACAGCCTGCTGTGTTTCTGGTGCCTATTGAGCTTTGCTGGAGCAGCTGGAGCAAGTAAGAGTCACACACCTCATGTTATTATCAACAATTTCCACATTGCCCACTTAGCCAATCTTTTTTCCCTTGCACTCACCCTTTGCCAGCTACCCTGGTGGGTCCAACATGTGGCACAGAAAATGATTACATCATGCCTGCATACCCCTCCAAGGACAGAACAGTCTGAAGTCAGCTCGACAAAAGCACTAAAGCAAGTATATATAAAAGAAAAGAGCAAGGACTATTATATAAAGTAGAATGTTGAGAAGAAGAGCTGCAAAGTCATTGAATGGGGGGACCCAAAGTCCTCACTGAGGTGATCTTTAATCCATGATGAGAATGATAACAGGGAGGCATCTCTGCACAAGAATGTGTCAGTGAGAAGCCACCCTTGGTGAAGAGTCTTACAGGTGTGAGTTTGGCAGAGATTAGAAAGGGACCAATTTGGTACAGACAGCCTGAGGAAGAGATAAGCAGAGGCATGGAGAATCCTGGGGCTTGGGAGATGAGGCTAGATATCTGCTCCTTTCTGACAACATTGCCCTAAAACTTAGCACCTTTCAATAGTATATAGTATCTCACAATTTGTGTGGACCAGAATCTGGACACAGTTTAGTTAGCTGCCTCTGCCTTCAGGTCTCTTATGAGATTGGGGCTGTGGTCTCAACTGAATGTGGACCGGAAAAGCATCAACCTTTAAGCTCATGCTTGTGAAAATTGGCAGGGTTCAGGGTAGACTGAGAGCATGACTTTACTTCTGTCTACTGCCTGAGCACTCCCTCCGTTCTTTGTTATGTGCGTCTGTACATAGAGCATCTCATAGCATTGGAGCTTGCTTCCTCTGTTTGAGGAATACAATTGAGAGACAGAATTAGGCAAACAGTTTCACACAAAGAGACATAAAGAAATGGAAAGACTGAGGAAGCAAATAGGAAAAACCCAGTAGGAGGAATAATGACAGCTTTAAAAAAACTTGAGAGTTACAATAATTTGTATTAAAATTGTAACCCCCAGTGTAATGCTATAAGGAGATAGGTAGTAATTAACTCCTGAGGTTGAGGCCATCATGATTGAGATTACTGGCTTTACACAGGAAACCCCAGAGGGATGTCTGTCTCCTTCTACCAAATGAGAATAAAATTTGATGTGTGCAGTCTGAAATTCAGAAGAGTCATCACCAGAGCTCAACCATGCTGATACCCTGATCTCAAATTTCCAACCTCTAGGAGTGTGAGAAATTAAATCCTGTTGTCTATAAGCTGTCTAGTTCATGGTTCTTTGGTATAGCAGCCTGAACTAATACAAAAGTCATACACTATTCTGTATTCCATTTGACAGAAGCTGAATTTGTGCCTTCAAACTGTTAAAAAAAAAAGACTTAAAAATTGGATATTCAGAATGAAAGATAAGAAACAGCTTGTTGAAACACTTAAATCTCCTCTGCTTATAAGATTTTAAAAAATTGGCTGAAATATGTTGGAAGCAATATGGCCAACTGAAGTCCATGGAGAATGAGTTTGCTGATGTTAGAGCCCAAATTTCCGTTGCATGTTTCATATTAACTCTCCCTGAATATTCATGTGACCTGTGAGGAAACAAGAGGAGATGACTGTGCATGTCTCATGACTTTCCATATTACTACTTTCCTTCCAGCAATCCCCTCCTAATCCAGAGCCCACTTCTTAAGCATTTTTTAATCAACACCTTAAAGCCTATATAAGGAAACTGATTTCAGCTGGACTCCTGTCTCCTGTTGGCCAACCTACAACAAGATGCCATTTTTCTCAAAACCCAAGTGCCATACTACTGGCATCGAGCAGTAGGTCATTTTGTTCAATAACAAACTGAGTCACTAACCACCTAGTGCTGGGAGACTTTGTGAAGGCTTTCCCCAACTTAGGTGAGATAAGGCACATGGATATAATTCTATATATAATAAGAAGTCACTAGAAAGTTTAATAGTTGTATTAGTCCATTTTTATACCGCAATGATGGAATACCTGGGACTGGGTAATTTATAAAGAAAAGAGGTTTAATTGACTCACAGTTCCACAAGATTGGGTGGGGGAGGCTCAGAAACCTTCCAATTATGGTGGCCAACAAGTGAAGTGAGTGAGAGCAGGGGATACACCAGAAGCTTATGAAACCATCAGATCTCTTGAGAACTCACTCACTATCACAAGAACAGCATAAGAAAAACCCGTCCCCATAATCCAATCAACTCCCCTCAGGTTTCTCCCTTAACACCTGGAGGTTATAATACAAAATGAGGTTTGGGTGGGGACACACAGCTAAACCACATCAGTGCCAGAGGATGATATCTACATTTAATTTCAACCTCGTACTGCAGCAGAATGAAACTGAAGCCCAGTGGGGAAGTGACTTTCCCAAGATTACACTGCTGGACCCCAGGCCTACCTGAGTTGTGGCCCATGCTACCTCCCACCTATTCTCCTAATGCTTCCATCTCTAAGTGTGTGCATTATTTACATGTGAAACTACACCACGATTTTTACATTTTATCTTATATACATCTGATACATTCCCTAGGAAGTAGATAACATTATCCCCACTGTGCACGCTAGGAGGCTGGGGAAGCCTCAAATACACAGTGACTTTTATTAGGTCCCAGAGATGGTAAGAAAAACAAGGTTATTTTCCAGCTGTCTCTTATATCCTGGAACCCAGGATGCATTTAGGTCTTTCCAGGGAATTAAGGGGAAGTTGTGTTTGCATAATTGTGTACAAATAAAGAGTTGACATGGAAGAGGAGACTGAGCAATCAATAGCATAGTGGGGCCTTTGGGTAGGTCTTACAGAAATAAGGGGCCCAGTAGATGGAACCTTGAAGAGTTTAACACACTTTCCTGGTGACAGAACCCCACAGCAGTTAAGAAACCAGGAACCCACATTCTTGAGACAGCTCTGTATCCACCTCTGTTGGTGAGAGATGCTCAAGAGAGTGAGATGTCCTTTCATTGTGCCTTGATATTTCTGAGTTCTAGCCTTACAAAGCCTCAATGTAAAAGCCTTCTCTGATAACACAGATATCAACTCAGCCCTCATTCCTGATACCCCTGGCCATTGGCCAAGTGCACCTACAGATAACACAGAGCAGCCCAGGACATGTCCATCGAGGCCAGGCCTCTCTCATCATCTCATCTGGGCAGCCCCACACCACTTCTTTGTACCATGAGTTGCAGGATGGACAAAAGAGAGGGCACACTTCTTGGGCAGAAGCCGATTGTCAGGTGTTGGAACTCTTGTGTGTTTGTTATGTTCATATTCAGGTCAGAGCTGGCAGAATAAAAATAAGAGAGTTGGGGAGTGAGTCTGTATACTCAGATGTGAATAGCAAGACTCCAACCTGATCTCTGGTTTCCTTCCTTGCTGGAGATTTATTTATTTATTTATACTTTAAGTTCTGGGATACATGTGCAGAATGTGCAGACTTGTTACATAGTTTTATATTTGCCATGGTGGTTTGCTGCATCTATCAAACTGTCAGCTAGGTTTTAAGCCCCACATATATTAGATATTTGTCCTAGTGCTCTCCTTCACTTTGCCCCCTGACAAGCCCTGATGTGTGATGTTCCCCTCCCTGTGTCCATGTGTTTTCATTGTTCAAATTTCACTTATGAGTGAGAACATGTGGTGTTTGGTTTTCTGTTCCTGTTAGTTTGCTGAGAATGATGGCTTCCAGCTTCCTCCATATCCCTGCAATCTGAGGTCTCTGTTCTGTTCCATCTGTCTATATATCTGTTTTGGTACCAATATGACTTCCTCTCTTCCTATTTGCATACCCTTTATTTCTTTCACTTGCCTGATTACCCTGGCCAGAACTTCCAATACTATCTTGAATAGGAGTGCTGAGGGAGGACATCCTTGTCTTGTGCTGGTTTTCAAAGGGAATGCTTCCGGCACTTGCCTATTAAGTATGATATTGGCTAGGGGTTTGTCATAAACAGCTCTGATTATTTCGAGACTTTTTCCGTCAATACGTAGTTTATTTAGAGCTTTTAACATGAAGGGATATTAAATTTAATCTAAGGCCTTTTGTGCATCTATTGAGAAAATCCTGTGGTTTCTGTCATTGGTTCTGTTTATGTGATGGATTACATTTATTAATTTGCATACGTTGAACCAGCCTTGAATCCCAGGGATGAAGCTGACGTGATCATGGTGGATAACATTTTCGATGTGCTGCTGGTTTCAGTTTGCCAGTATTTTATTGAGGATTTTTACATCGATGTTCATGAGGGATATTGGCCTGAAATTTTTGTTGCGGTTGTGTCTTTGCGAGGTTTTGGTATCATTATGATGGTGACCTCATAAAATGAATTAGGGAGGAGTCCCTCCTTTTCAATTGTTTAGAATAGTTTAAGAAGAAATGTTACCAGCTGCTCTTTATGCTTCTGGTAAAATTCGGCTGTGAATCCATCTGGTTCTGAGCGTTTTTTTATTGGTAGGCTATTAATTACTGCCTCAATTTCAGAACTTTTTATTGGTCTATTCAGGGATTCAACTTCTTCCTGGCTTAGTCTTGGGAAAGTGTATGTGTCCAGAAATTTATCCATTTCTTCTATATTTTCTAGTTGATTTGTGTGGAGATGTCTATAGTATTCTCTCATGGTAGTTTTTATTTCTGTGGAATCAGTGGTGATATCCTGTTTATCATTTTTTAATGTGTCTATTTGTTTCTTCTTTCTTTTCCTCTTTATTAATCTAGCTAGTGGTCCATCTCTTTTGTTAATCTTTTCAAAAAACCAGCTAGTGGAGTCATTGATTTTGAACAGTTTTTCTTGTCTCTATCTCCTTCAGTTCTGCTCTGATCTTAGTTGTTTCTTTCCTTCAGCTAGTTTTTGAATTTGTTTCCTCTTGATTCTCTAGTTGTTTTAATTGTGATGTTAGGGTGTCGATTTCAGATCATTCCAGCTTTCTGTTGTGGGCATTTAGTGCTAGCATATCCCCTCTTAAAACTGCTTTAGCTGTGTCCAAGAGATTCTGGTACATTGTCTCTTTGTTCTCATTTGTTTCAAAAAAAACTTAATTTCTCTCTTAATTTTGTCATTTACTCAGTAGTCGTTCAGGAGCAGGTTGTTCAATTTCCATGTATTTATGTGGTTTTGAGTGAGTTTCTTAATCCTGAGTTCTGATTTGATTGCACTGTGGTCTGAGAGACAGTTTGTTATGGTTGCCATTTTTTCCATTTGTTGAGGAGTGTTTTGCTTCCAATTATGTGGTCAATTTTAGAATATGTGCTATGTGGCATGGAGAAGAATGTATATTCTGTTCGTCTGGCATGGAGAGTTCTGTAGTTGTCTATTAGGTCCGCTTAGTCCAGAGCTGATTTCAAATCCTGAATATCCTTGTTAATTTTCTGTCTCATTGATCTGTCTAATATTGGCAGTGGGGTGTTAAAACTTCCCAGTGTTATTGTGTGGGAGTCTACGTCTCTTTATAGGTCTGTAAGAACTTGTTTTATGAATCTCAGTGCTCCTCTGTTGGGTAGGTATATATATAGGATAGTTAGCTCTTCTTGTTGCATTGATCCCTTTACCTTTATGTAGTGCCCTTCTTTGTCTTTTTTCATCTTGGTTTAAAGTCTGTTTTACAAGAAACTAGGATTGAAACCTTGCTTTTTTTGTTGTTGTTGTTGCTTTTTTTGCTTTCCATTTGCCATTTCTCCTTCCCTTTATTTTAAGCCTATGTGTGTCTTTGCATGTGAGATGTGTCTCCTGAATATAGCACACCAAAGATTCTTGACTGTTTAACCAATTTGCCAGGCTCTGTCTCTTAATTGAGGTATTTAGCCCACTTATATTTATGGTTAATATTGTTATGTGTGAATTTGATCCTGTTATCATGATGCTAGCTGGTTATTTTGCACATTCGTTGATGCAGTTTTTTCATAGTATCGATTGGTCTTTATATTTTGGTGTGGTTTTGCAGTGGTGAACCATATTTTCCTTTCCATATTTAGTGTTTCCTTCAGGAGATTTTGTAAGGCATGCCTGGTGGTGACATAATCCCTCAGCATTTGCTTGTCTGTGAAGGACTTTATTTCCCCTTTGCTTTTGAAGATTAGTTTGGCTGGATATGAAATTCTGAGTTGAAAATTATTTTATTTAAGAATGTTGAATATTGGCCCCCACTCTCTTCTGGCTTCTAGAGTTTCTGCAAAGAGATCTGCTGTTAGTCTGATGGGCCTCCATTTGTAGGTAACCTGACTTCTCTCTCTGTCTGCCCTTAACATTATTTCCTTCATTTCAACCTTGGAGAGTCTGGCGATTATGTGTCTTGGAGTTGCTCTTCTCGAGGAGTATCTTAGTGATGTTCTCTGTATTTCCTGAATTTGAATGTTGGCCTGTCTTGCTAGGTTGAGGAAGTTCTCCTGGATAATATCCTAAAGTTTGTTTTCTAGCTTGGATCCATTCTTCCCGTCACTTTGAGGTATACCAATCAATCGTAGGTTTGGTCTTTTCACATAGTCCCATATAACTTAAAGGCATTGTTTAGCTCCATCAGGCCATTTATGTTTCTCTCTAAGCTGGTTATTCTAGTTAGCAGTTCCCATAACCTTTTATCAAGATACTTAGCTTCTTTGCATTGTGTTAGAACATACTTCTTTAGCTCAGAGGAGTTTATTATTACCCACCTTCTGAAGACTACTTCTGTCAATTCTTCAATCTCATTCTCCATCCAGTTTTGTGTCATTACTGGAGAGGTGTTGTGATCATTTGGAGGAGAAAAGGCATTCTTGTTTCTGGAATTTTTGGCATTTTTGTGCTGTTTTTTCCTCATCTTCATGGATTTATCTACTTTCAATCTTTGGGGCTGATGACATTTGGATGGGGTTTTTTTTGGGTGGGTCCTTTCTGTTGATGTTGATGTTGTTGCTTTCTGCTTGTTAGTTTTTCTTCTAACAGCAAGGTTCTTCTGCAGGTCCAGTGCAGTTTGCTGGAGTTCCAATCCAGACCCTGTTCACCTGGGTGTCACCAGTAAAGGCTGCAGAACAGCAAAGATTGCTGCCTTCTCCTTCTTCTGGAAACTTCATCCCAGGAGGATACCCGCCCAATGCCAACTGGAGCCCTTTTGTATGAGGTGTCTGTCAACCCCTGTTAGGAGGTTTCTCCCAGTCAGGAGTCACGGGGAACCCACTTGAGGAGACAGTCTGTCTCTTAGCAGAGCTGGTGCACTGTGCTGGCAGAATCCCTCTAGTCAAAATCAGCTGCTCTCTTCAGAGCCAGCAGGCAGGAATGATGAAATCCACTGAAGCTGCACCCACAGCCTCCCCTTCCCCCATGTGCTCTGTCCCAGGGAGATAGAGGTTTTCTGTGTAAGCCTCTGACTAGGGCTGTTACCTTTCCTTCAAATATGACCTGCCCAATGAGGAGGACTCTAAAGAAGCAGTCTGCCACAGCCACTTTGCTGCACCCAACCCGGACCTTCCAGCCTCCTTGGCACCGTCAGGGGAAAACTGTCTACTAAAGCCTCAGTAATGGTGGACTCCACTCCCTCCAACTGACCTCAATTGGCCCAGGTCAACTTCAGACTGCTGTGCTGGCAGCGAGAATTTCAGGATGAGGAACGCATTAGCTGTTTGTGATTTTCATGTCTGTTGCAGGGATTTGACCCATTGTTAGTGCTAGATTTGGAGTCTTAAAAAACAGATTTATCTTACTGAACTCAAAGTACAACTTGAAGATGTACTCAGCTGTTTACTTAAATTAAAGCAGGAGAAAATGTATCTTTGCAGATCTATTTTTATGTCACTTGCTTTTAGACACGAGATTGTCTCTGGCACAGTAATTCAACTTAGTCTATGTCAAAAACATAGCCTGAAAATGCTCAAAAAAAATTATGAATAGCGGATTGTATTCTATGTGTTTTCAAATTTCTTCTATGATGTAAAATATATAACATAATGTTTTACCTTGGATTTCTAACCTCAGCCCTCAGCCATTTTCCCAATTTTTTTTTTTTTGTTTTGAGACGGAGTCTTGCTCTGTCTCTCAGGCTGGAGTGCAGTGGAGCTATCTCGGCTCACTGCAAGCTCCACCTCCCGTGTTCATGCCATTCTCCTGCCTCAGCCTCCCAAGTAGCTGGGACTACAGGCACCTGCCACCACGCCCGACTACTTTTTTGTATTTTTAGTAGAGACAGGGTTTCACCGTATTATCCAGGATGGTCTGGATCTCCTGACCTCATGATTCACCCATCTCAGCCTCCCAAAGTGCTGGGATTACAGGCATGAGCCACCTTGCCATGCCCCACTTTCCCAAACTATTAAAAGACCTTCCAAGGTGGGTCAAAAGCATTTTTCAGAGGAGATTATTCCTAACAGTAAAGGATAATAACAGATGGATAAAAATCTCAAATAAATTATGCCTCTATTTGCAGAAGTGTCACTCTCCAGAGTCTCCAAGATCCAGAGAATTTCCATGAGGTAGAGTAGTTTGTGGACATTTAGCAAAGTTGGTCCTGACTGCTGTCTCAGCCTCTTAATAGATGTGCAGCTATAGACAATTTACTGGACTTACAACAGTTATATAAACCTGGGCTGCAAGAAAACGCATAACACTGATTGCAAGAATGGCAATCACTTCTCATTCCTCTCTGATCTGGGCCCTCTGCAATGTACACTTGAGGATGCTTCCATGGAGGGAAAGATTTTCTTTTCCCAAATCTTGGATCGGGCTGGCCTTATTTGCTCTGCCTCATTCATACTTTTTGTTCTAATAAAATAATTAAGATGTTTAGTGTCTCATCCCAGCCTTTATCTTGTTAAAACTATATCTTATAATATGTCATCTCTCTTTACTATATTTGGTTATATTCATTCTATTCAATACTCAGGTAATTTTTTATCTCTGTTTAATTTAGTGTTTCACCTATACCTTGTCCTAATTTTTTTATTCTTTACATTCTACCGAGCTGTGATTCAAATATGATATTTGAATATGGAAAATGGTGGCCTAGTTTTTCTTCAGAAATTTCTTTTTATTTACTTGTGTTCTTTAGTTTTTAACTTGGTTCCAATATTTGGGAAATATCACATTTGAGATGTCTGTAGTCATGTTATTTCTGTGCTTATTCCATTTTCCCTTGGAGGAAGGTGGACAGCATACAGACTTGACATCCTTGTGATCTATCAGTATCTGAAGGGACCACTTTTTTTCAGTTTGATTACTTCTCTGGCTTATTCTCTTGATTTACTTTAGCTTTCATCAAGTGCTTCTATATTTTTAAACTGTATTCATTATTTTCATAGTTCTTGTAGCTTCTTGAGAACTTTTACTTGTCTACACTAAAATATTTAAAAATATGTAGCCTTTTCTTCTGAAAGCACAAATATGCAGTGTACACATGAGTAGAATATTTCATAGGCATTGGGCAGCATACAACCACATCTTATGAGATATTCCGTTTCTTCATTCAAAACATCTCTCTCAAATATGTAGTAATAGTCACTTGTAAGGGGTAGTTCTTTTGATACTTAAAATTTTCTTTTATGTGCCTTTATGAAAATATATACTTAACTACAGAGAACAGAACTCTGTGCTTCCTTTTAGTATGTCCTTGACCTCACAAAAATAATTCATGAAATCTTATATTTATTTTATAAATTAATTTAATGAAACAAAATTTGTGCATGGCTAAATATTACTTGTTGAGTACAATTTAGAATTTCTACTGTCATTTTAGTGTCCTAAAAGATATGAGCTGTTGAATTTCTGCTCTCATAAAATGAATGATATTGTTAGGCCTAAACCCTTGCCATTTATTTTCCCCCTCTGTCATACAGTGTGTATCTTTGGTTCACTGCTGAAAAATTTTATTAATTTTTCTCTCTTGCTAGTAGTCATACTTTCTAATAAAGTTATCATTACTTGTGTTTATTTAGTTACTGTATGTTAAACATTTGATTTCTGATGGTCTTAATGTCATTTAATATAATTGTAAATATTTCAATTTGTCATTATTAACAAATTTCTGTATTATATGTTTTAGACTCAGCTATTAAGTATATGTGGGTAAATGACTTAGAATAATTTCTAAAACATTGTAGGGGCTACTAAGTACTAATAACCCTGATTCATTAAATTTTTATTCCTTATAATATTCTTTATTGACTAAATTATTTTGTAATCTTATTTAAATTTATTCTTTTCTTTTCTAAATATTTGTGAAAAAGGGGTTAGGCTAATGTGTCATTTTGATAAAACTTCATGTCAAATGATATGTTTCACTGGTTTCTTTTAGATGTAATAGCTTTTTTGACTCAGGCAATACATGCAAGTATGAAGTATAAAAATTATAGTCTCAATCCTTAAGCTGAGGAAAAACTTGGCTATTTATTGATTTTAACAAAGCTACATTATCCCACATAATACGTAAAACTTTCACAAAGCTACATTATCCCACATAACAGGCATACCAGCTGCCTAGATCTGGAAACATGGATTGTTACAAATTAGAAGTAAATAACTTGATAGGCCCAATTTAACAAATGAAGCTCAAGAAGTGGGAGATATGAGACCTATAATGAAAGATTAAATTATTTTAAAAATCTTACCACAAAGAAAAATCAGAGTCAAATACTTTAACTGTTAAATTATACAAAATATTTCATAAAAATACCAATCCTTTACAAATACACACCATACATAGATAAGAGATAAACAACCCCTAACTACTTTATGAGGCCAATATTACTATACCAAAGCCAGACAAACCCATCATGTGTTAGGATTAATATGGGTACATACAGCTGATAAATAAAGACACATAATTCTCAAAAAGTACTAATAAGTTAAATACAGAAACACGTAAAAGTAATTATACACCATGGCCAAGTACAATCTTTTTACAAATGAAGTGGCTTAATATCTAAAAACCAATAATTTAATACACAACATTGATAAAGTGAAGAACATAAAATGATCCTTTTAATAGACACAGAAAAGCTTGTGATACAAACAACACTGATTCATTATAAAATCCTTAACATACTAGGAAGGAAAAACTTACTGGAACTACTAAAAAGGATTCATAAAAATTTCCCACTAATATTACACTTGCTGATGAAAGACTAGGCTCTTTGCCTCACAGTTGTGGGAAACAGATAAGCATGGCTACTTTCGCTACTCTACTAAATTGAACTAAAGGTGTTAGGCAGAGAAATTATATAATAAAAACAAATAAAACTTCTAAATTTATAAAATAAACTTTTATTGTAAATGGCATCAACTTATATTCAAGAATTTTTAAAGAGTTTACAAAAATCAACTGGAACTAATAAATGAGTTCAGCAGGTCACAAGATACAAGATAAATGCACAATATTAAATTGCACTTTTATACAGTAACTAAGGGCAATCAGTAAATAAAATTAGAAAAAATAATTCTACTCATTAGCTCAATGTGTAGTGGCTTAAAATTCCAAATATGCATTATGTCTTATTTTCTGTTGGCTACAAATACTGACACAGCTTAGTTGAATGGGTCTACCACAATGTCCTCATGTGTCCGGAATTGGTCGGTTCTTGGTCTCACTGACTTCAAGAATGAAGCCGCGGACCCTCACGGTGAGTGTTACAGTTCTTAAAGGCAGCGTGCCTGGAGTTTTTCCCTTCTAATGTCAGCATGTGTTTGGAGTTTCTTTCTTCTGGTGGGTTCGTGGTCTTTCTGGCTCAGGAGTGAAGCTGCAGACCTTTGTGGTGAGTGTTACAGCTCATAAAGGCAGTGTGGACGCAAAGAGTGAGCAGCAGCAGGATTTATTGCAAAGAGCGAAAGAACAAAGCTTCCACAGTGTGGATGGGGACCCGAGAGGGTTGCCACTGCTGGCTCGGGCAGCTGCTTTTATTCTCTTATCTGGCCCCACCCACATCCTGCTGATTGGTCCATTTTACAGGGAGCCAATTGGTCTGTTTTACAGAGAGCTGATTGGTCCCTTTTCACAGGGTGCTGATTGATGCATTTACAATCCTTGAGCTAGACACAAAGTTCACCACGTCTCTACTAGATTAGCTAGATACAGAGTGTTGATTGGTGTATTTACAAACCCTGAGCTAGACACGGGGTGCTCATTTGTGTGTTTATAAACCTTGAGCTAGATACAAAGTGTCGATTGGTGTATTTACAATCCCTTATCTAGACATAAAGTTTCTCCAAGTCCCCACCAGACTCAGGAGCCCAGCTGGCTTCACCCAGTGGATCCCGCACCAGGGCCGCAGGTGGAGCTGCCTGCCTGCCAGTCACACGCTGTGCTCCCGAACTCCTCAGCCCTTGGGTTGTCGATGGGACTGGGTGCCATGGAACAGGGGGTGGAGCTCGTTGGGGAGGCTCGGGCCGCACAGGAGCCCTTGGCAGGAGTGGGGGAGAGGCTCAGGCAAGGTGGGCTGCAGTTCCCGAGCCCTGCCCCGTGGGGAGGCAGCTAAGGCCTGGCAAGAAGTCGAGCACAGCAGCTGCTGGCCCAGGTGCTAAGCCCCTCACTGCCTGGGGCTGGCGGGGCCAGCTGGCCGCTCCAAGTGCGGGGCCGCCAAGCCCACGCCCACCCGGAACTCGCGCTGGCCCGGAAGCACCGCGGGCAGCCGCGGTTCCTGCCCGCTCCCCGCAAGATAAGGGAGCCGGCTCCGGCATTGGCCTGCTGAGAAAGGGGCTCCCACAGTGCAGCGGTGAGCTGAAGGGCTCCTCAAGCGCGGCCAGAGTGGGCACCAAGGCCGAGGAGGCACCAAGAGTGAGCGAGGGCTGTGAGGGCTGCCAGCATGCTGTCACCTCTCACTCATGAGACTGAAGCTGTGTCTCAACTGAAGCTTGACTGGGAAGGATGCACTTCTGAGCTCAATCTGGTTAGTTGTGCATTATTGTTTTGACTCAGTTCTTAGTTTCTTTCTGTCTTTGGTCAGGGCACTCTCTCTATTCTCTGTCACACAAGCCTGTAAAAATGAAAGCTTAAAACACTGAAGCTCGCTTCTCCAGAGCAAAGTATGCGACAGACAGAGAGAAAGACAGGAAAAAAGGAAGTAAACAATATCACAAGAGAGAGAAAGTAAGAAGCAAGTGACAATCTTTTCATAATCAAATATTGGCAGTGACATTCCCTATTTTCCAATGTATTCTACTGCCATGAAGTGAGTCACTAACCACTTACTGTTTACATTTGGGTGTGTATAGTTGGAAATAAAAATTATTATGAGCCATCATGAAGGCTGTGCACTACGTATGCCAAGGTGAGACAAATGGGCCTGATTCTAAATATAACGAGAAGGTACTACAATGTGTGTTGTTGTTATTGTTGTTGTTCTGGCCAAAGAATAACAACATCTAAATTTTATTCAATTTCAATGTTTTCATGGTGGAGTTTGAAAAATAAATTCAAGAGGGGACATGACTTTCTCAAGATTCAAGTTATAAAACCCAGGCATGTTTGAGAGATATTCAAGCAATGTCCCATCCCTTGTAGTTTCTTTCTCTAAGTTTACGCAGTAGCTGTGTTTAATATCAAACCCAACAGTCATGCGTATCATTTTATACATATCTCATGAGATCCCTTGCAGCTGGATGCCACCATAATCCCCACTGTGCAGGCTGTGAGACTATGGAGCCCCTGAGAGGCACAATGACATACTTGGCATCACAGAATTAATACATTAAACATAAAGACTTTAACTCAGCTTGTATCCTCAAACTTGTGGCTCTGGCTGCATTCCATTTCCTCCGGCACTGGTGCAGGAGGTGCTGTATTTGCATAATTGTGCACAAGTAATCAGATGACTTGGGAGAGAATGGTGAGCAGTCAGCAGTGCAGAAAAGCCTTTGAGTAGGTCTTATTGAAGGAAGATAGGTCTTATTGAAAGAAGAATAATACCTTCAAGAAGTGACCTCATTTCTTTGGTGAAAGGTCCTAACAGTACTAAGTATTCTGGTAACCAAAAACTCACATTCTAAAGACAGTCCACCATACAGCACTGTTGGCCAGAATCTCTCAAGAGAGAAAGATGTTCTGCTGTATAACAACTTTCTGAGGCTCTTTCTTGTGAGGTTCTGTTCCTCACAAGTAGCACCTTCTAGCTATGTCTTCACACGACAGAAGGGGCATGAATATTCCTTTCAACCTCCGTCACACGGGCACTATTATTTTCTCGTTAACATGCAGCCCTCCTGACTTAATAACTTTCTCAAAGTTCCAATAACTAATAGTATCACACTGAATCCACGTGTGGATTAAGTTTTTAAATATGAATGTGGAGAGTGAGGAACACAAATATCCAGACCATAGCAAAAAGTTAATAAGCAATAACAATTGCAGTGGACAGTATTATTAATGCTTGGGATATGGGAATTTGATGTTTCTATCACAAAGGTTAAACAATGGTTTATCCTTGGCCGGGCATGATGGCTCAAGCCTGTAATCCAAGCACTTTGGGATGTCAAGGCAGGCGGATCACAAGGTCAGGAGATCGAGACCATCCTGGCTAATACGGTGAAACCCCGTCTCTACTAAAAGTCCAAAAACATTGCTGGGTGTGGTGGCAGGCGCCTGTAGTCCCCGCTACTAGGGAAGCTGAGGCAGGAAAAAGGTGTGAACCCAGGAGGTGGAGCTTTCAGTGAGCTGAGATCACACCAGTGCACTACAGCCTCGGAGACACAGCAAGACTCCATCAAAAAAATAAAATTAAATTAAAACATATAACAAAATTAAGGTCCAATTAAAGGTAAATATATATAGCAAAAAAAAAATTCAAGCTCTGATAAGGTTAATTGTAACAGATTGTGCCAGAATTTTGAGATTTCTGGAGATGGACAGAGCCCAAGAGTTTCCTTCTATAACAATTTCTGTGAAGTTTCTTACACTCTTATTCAATTTGAACGTGGATAAATGGGTTTTCTCTGTTTTGTTATTTAAGAGATTCATGATAAGGAAGGCCTATTTATGCATGATTCTTAAACAATTATTGAGTCAGTGGTGTCTGCTGAGGAAGGGCACAGAATCTCATGCCCACAGAAGCATGATGTTCTGTCAGATAGGAGACTTCTCCCAGAGCCAGAACTTCATCTTTCAAATGGAATTAGAGATTTTCACAGGCATACATTGCTCTGAAGCCCTATCAGAGGCTTAGCACTGAGAATATGACCAAAGAAGGTGACTAATAAACATATGACCTAGTACTCTGATCTACAGTGATTCTACCCTCTCAAATAGCTCTTCCCTGGCTCTGGAATCTTTTCTGGATTCATCTACCAGAAACAGATACACTGAAAGATTGAGAAGAAGCTTTTATTCTCACTGTGAGTCTTGCCCTGTCTCACCATCTTCTCTAGAAGTGCAATGTTCTAACTATTCCTGAGAGACTTCATCTCAGGTAGCTCTCTCTGACAACATAATTGAGAAGAGAAACGAGCAAGACTCAGATTATTTTGAAGGCTTGTCTAGGGTTCTTACATGATTTATGTCTCCAATTTATGTCAATATTGACAAATATAGATTCATCTCTAGATGGTAGAAAAACACAAGGAGGAGCCTCTGCTCACAGAGAAAATAAAAGATGAATTCAATGTTTTGTAGAGCCAGCTTATTTTAAACCATGGGGCATTTAATCTTTTTAGAAAAAAACAAAAGCAATAGGGTTTTTTGTTTTTGTTTTTGCTTTTGCTTTTGTGTTTTGGTTTTGGTTTTTTTTTGTTTGTTTGTTTTTTCCCTGAAGCAACTCAACTGTGGCCTCAGACAACTGGGCACTGAGAACGCATGCTCCTCACTAGAATTTCATTACTACATTGCAGAGAAATGGGATAATTACAAAGGATTTTTTTTTTTTTGAGATGGAGTCTTCCTCTGTCATCCAAGATGGAGTGCAGTGGCATCATCTCAGCTCACAGCAACCTTGGTCTCTCAGGTTGAAGCAATTCTCCTGCCTCAGCCTCCCAAATAGCTGGGACTACAGGCATGTGCCACCTTGCCTGGGTAATTTTTATATTTTTAGTACAGACTGGGTTCCACCATGTTGGCCAGATGGTCTCGATTTCCTGACCTCGTTATCCACCCTCCTTGGTCACCTAAAGTGCTGGGTGTGAGCTGCTGTGCCCAGCCCAAAGGATTCTTAAGGGTGATATGGGGGATGGAATGGAAAAAATAAACTTAGTCTTTGCACTTCCACCTGGTCTAACTAACCCTACTCTCATCCTATCCCAAAATTATTGCCAGACTTTTCTGGAGTGTGCCAGGGGCAATTCAGAAGGAAAAGAGGTTATTCATGCCTATCCATTTCCCATAGCTCCTGAGATCTAAGTCGTTCACTCCCCTGGTTTCAGGTTGTTGCTCCCCTTCTATATCCTCAGAATTAATGTGATCCATTCCAATACTTATAATTGTACCTTTATCTGATCCCCTCCTATTTTGCTGTAGACATTTTATGTAGTAGATCCAGTTGTAATAGAGACAAGAATGTTTATATACACCATAATCAGAACTAAATTGGAGTTCCATAACCCCTTTTTTGACTGGGCTGCTACTCAGAAATCATACAAACCAGGCTGCCTGGAGGTTGCAGTTAGGAGAAATCACATCTTGCCCAGGAATGTCAGTGTGGAAACTCAGATTTGGAAAATAGATTCCTATAGCCCCAATCATTTTGCAACACTTCTGCAGAGTTAAAAGAAAGCCAGTATCTAACAGAAAATCTTGAGCTTGCAGAATAACAGAAAAGAAAAAAAAAACAAAAACACAACTTGCCAAAACACTGAAACTCCCTCTACTTATGAAATAAACAAACTGGCTTAAATTGGTGGAATCATTATGGCCAAATGGTGTTTTGGCAGAATCACCTTGCTGAGGTCACCGTCTGAATTTTCACTGCCTGTTTCATCACAACTCCCCTTCAGTTTGCCCATGACATCCATGAGGAGGCAATGAGCTTGAGAGTAACGTTTCAGTATAAAATTGCTTTCTCTTAAAACCTGATGTCATAGTATTGGCTTCTAGCACTTCAAGAAGTGAGCTCCTTTTACTCAATAACAATGTTATCTATATCTTAGAGACAGTCAACAGGAGATAATCTCTTCTGGGACCAAAGAAGGTGACTAATAAACCATTTAATCAACACATTACCTAACCAAAAGCTGTGGACCCTGATGAGGAAAATAAGTTAAAATGAGACTATTGGCTCATTTTAATAGATATGGTGATAAAAGCAAAAAAAAAAAAAAAAAAGAGAGAATTTAAGCGGTCTCAAATACCTAAAAGATGACATGGATTAGCTTCAAGTAACACATAATGTGGCTGGAGTCAGCTGATCTTTATGCTGAAAGTGTCAACAGTAGTGACAAATACTTCAAGTAACGGGTCAAAAGTCTAAGACAGTCATTCTGCCAGAAATGGTCTGGGACTTCCCCATACATGGGACACGTAGATCAACTTTCTCCAAGAACCACCAACCTGGCATGCAGTGATGACCTCTGCAGTAGACAGGGATTTAGGCTTGATTGTTGTTCATCTCTTTGGAGAGATAACCCTAATTGTGAACTTCTAAATTAATGGCCTTACAATTAGATCAGCAGCTAAGATAAATTTCAGTTTGCAGCCCCAAAGAAGATGTTCTTAATTAGACAGTTAATCATTTTCAATATGGAAGCCTAAACACGTAGAATGTGGCAATAACCCGGAACTCTCAGTTCTGACAATTGAGTGAAGTAATCACCCCAGATTCAGGTTCTTCATTGGCTGACAATGAGATCAAACACCCACACCAGCCCAGTGAACGCCATGAGGTGTCATCTTCCCTGGCCCATTAGTGAACCAGGAACAGATATTTAGAAAATATTCAGTAAATTGGGGAGTCCCACAGAGTCAGAAAGTTTGCTTGAGATAGTAGAGGGTGGCATAAAATTTCTACCGAATATGAATTTTAATTTTTACTTTAGTGCCGTTTCTATTTTAGTCTAATTTCCTTCTAGAATATGTTATTTCTATTTACCAAGTGGCCTCCTGTGGTCTTTTTCATAGAGTTCAAATCGACCCATCTAAAAACAGAAAGATCAAGCTAACGACCTCCCTCAGGGGTCAGAATTCAGTTTCACAGCTCTGTAGCAAGCTCATTGTTGACTTACAAATTAGTGTAACCAATAGTAACGTCATGGTGACCATAACTCCAACATCCCAAAAAGTACCTCAAGTTAGAGGCTGACTTCATTTATCAGAGGATTCAAATGGCAAAATCAAGCTTTACTAGATCACTGGATTACTGGAAGAAGTGAGCAATGCGAATCTGCAATATAGTTTCACTAAACTTTAATAGGACAGCAAGACTGTAGATATTTTAGCCCTCTCAAAATATGAATCTTCTGATCCTTTCATCTAGAATCTCTATGTGTGCCATAAAGTCCTAACTCTGCTTGTGCCTATACTTTCTGTTCATGCAGAGATTAAAAGACAAACAGGTGGGAGCTTAGTGTTTTAGCGTTTTTCCTGAGAATCTGTCTAGCCTAGAGCATCCCCATTTTTTTCTAGATTCCAAGGAGTACTATCACTATCCTAATTCTCAGTGTCTTGTTTCCAAGTATTTCCTCCTACGATTGTCAGCGTGACTACCTTTTTACCCCACTGATAGTGTTTGCTCCAGGTGAACTGGGTAGTTCATTTTTATTTAAATGCTTCCATAAGCGTTAAGCTATTAATTTAAGATTTCTTTGTTTTTTATAAAGTAATTCTGCTGTTTCCCTCAGAGCTCAACTTTCACTAAGTCTCATAAATTTTATTATGTTTTGTCTAAATGTCTATTTATGTTAAAATATTCTCTGACACTATTTGTACATTTTTTATTCATTAATTATTTAAGATTGTGTCATTTAATGCACACATGTTTGCATTTCCCAAATTTCTTGCTTTTTTGGTCTCTAATTTTCTCTTTTGTGATTAGAAAACATTCATTTTATTATTTCAATCTTTCAATTTTATTGATTTTTTTTATGATGCAGCATATTCTCCATTCTAGAGAATGTTCTATGTGCATTTGGGAAGAATATACATTCTGATTTGGGGTGAAGAGTTCTCCATATATCTCTAGTTTTATTTGGTTTATGTTATTCATGTCTTCTATTTCCTTGTTTCTCTTATGTCTAGTTCTTCTACCCAATAGTGTAAGTGGGGAAGTGAAGCTTGCAATTTTTATTGTTGAAACTATTGTTGCAACTATTTCTGCCTTTATTTCTATCAGTTTTGCTTTATGTACTTCTGTGAACTTTTGTTACATTCATATATGTTAATTTATTTTCCTTATGAATTTATCCTTCTAATTATAATCTATCTTCATCTCTAGTAATAGTATTTGTTGTCTTAAAGTATATCCTAATTTTTTGATTTTTGGTTTTTCTGGGTGCATAGTAGGTGTATACCTTTATGAAGTATATAGAATATTTTGATACAGTCATACAATGTGTAATAATTACATCAGAGTCAATGGGGTATTCATCACATGAAGTATTACTATTGGATTTCAAATAACCAAATTATACAATTTCTGTTATTTTAAAATGCACACTTAAATTATTCTTAACTAGAGTCACCTTGTGCTGTCAAATGCTAGAACTGATTCATTCTTTCTAACTATATTTTTATACCCATTAACCATTCCCACCTCCCCGCCCTCAACCTTCTACTACTTCTCTCAGCCTCTGGAGACCATCATTCTACTCTTTATCTCCATTAATTCTTTGGTTTTAATTTTTAGCTTTAACAAATAAGTGAGAACGTGTGAAGTTTGTCTTTCTATACCTGGCTTATTTCACTTAATAAAATGACCTTCAGTTTAACCCATGTTGTTACAAATGACAGAATCTCATTCATTTTTATGTCTGAATAGTACTACATTGTGTATATGTACCACTTTTTTGTTTATTCATCTGTCGATAAACACCTATGTTACTTCCAAATCTTGGCTATTGTGAATAGTGTTGCAATAAACACAGGAGTACAGCTATCACTTTGATACACAGATTTTTCTCTCTTTTGGATATATACCTAACAGTGAAATTGCTGGATTGTACAGAAGCTCTATTTTTAGTTTTCTGAGGAAACTTCAAGCTGTTCTCCATAGTGGTTCCACCAACTTACATTCCCACCAACAGCATATGAGGGTTCCCTTTTCTCCGCATGCTTGTCAGCATTTGTTATTGCCTTTTAGCTAAAACCCACTTTAACTGGGGTGAGGTAATAGCTCATTGTAATTCTGATTTGCATTTCTCTGATGATTCATGATGTTGATCATCTTTTCATATACCTATTTGCCATTTGCGTGTCTTTATCGGAGTAATGTCTGTTTACATATTTTGCCTATTTTTTAAAATAGGATTATTAGATTTTATTTTCTATAGAGTTATTTGAGCGCCTTCTATGTTTTGGTTACAAATCCATTTTCAGATAGGTAGTTTGAAAATATTTTCTTTCATTCTGTGGGTTGTTTTCTCACTTTGTTGATTCTTTTCTGTGCCATGCAAAATTTTATAACTTGGTGTGATACCAATTTTCCATTTTGCTTTGGTTGCCTGTGCTTGTGAGGTGTTACTCAAGAAGTCTTTGCTTAATCCAAGGTTTTTTAGAATTTCCCCAATGTTTTCTTTCAGAAGTTTCATAGTTTGCAGTTTTACATTTAAATATTTAATCCATTTTGATTTAGTTTTTGCACATGGCAAAAGATAGAGGTCTAGTTTTATTCCCCTGCATATGGATATCCAGATTTACCATCACTGTTTATTGAAGAGACTGAGTTTTTATTCTTAATATATTTTCTTGGTGCCTATGTAAAAAATGAGTTCACTGTAGATGGATGGTTTGGTTCTGGGTTCTCTATTCTGCCCCATTTTCCTGTGTGTCTGTTTTTATGCCAGTACTATGCTGTTTTGGTTACTACACATCGGTAGTATAATTTTGTGTAATGTAATAATGTATGCTATGTAATGGGATTCCTCCAGTTTTATTCTTTCTGCTCAGGATAGCTTTAGCTATTCTAGGTCTTTTGTGATTATATATAAATTTAAGATTTTTTAGAGCTGTTGTATTTATTTGTGTGAGGAATGTCAATGGTATTTTTACAGAAATTGCGTTGAATCTGTAGCTTGCTTTGTGTAGCATGGACATTTTAATATTGATTCTTCCAATCCATAAACACAGAACACTGACTAATACAATCTGCAAATGGGTAGTTTGACTTCCTCTCCTCTTATTTGAATGCCTTTATTTTTTTCTCTTGTCTGATTGCTCTGGCCAGGATTTTCAATACTATGTTGAACAGGGCTGGTAAGAGAGGGCATCTTTGTCTTGTGCCAGTTTCCAAGAAAAATGCTTCCAGTTTCACCCATTCAGTATAATGTTGGCTGTGGGTTTGTCATAGATGACTTTTATTATTTCAAAGCATGTTTCCTCAATACCTAGTATATGGAGAGTTTTAACATAAAGTGGTTTTGAATTTTAATGAAAGCTCTTTCTGCATCTATTACAATAATCATGAGGTTTTTGTCTTTCGTTCTGTTTGTATTATGAATCACATTTATTGATTTGCATATGTTGAACCAACCTTGCATCCCAGGGAAAAAGCCTACTTGATTGTGGTGGATAGGCTTTTTGGTGTGCTGCTGGATTTGGTTTGCCAGTATTTTATGGAGAATTTTTGCATCAATATTCATCAAAGATATGAAATTTTTCTTTCTTTTGCTTTTCTTCCAGGTTTTGATATCAGAAGGGTGCTGGCCTCATAGGATGAGTGAGGAAGAAGATGATCCTCCTCAAATTTTTGGTAGTTTCAGTAGGAATGATACCAAATTCTTCTTTGCATATCCAGTAGAATTTGGCTGGGAATTCGTCTTTTCCTGGGCTTTTTAAAATTGATAGTCTATTTATTACAGATTCAATTTTGGAGCATGTTATTGGTCTGTTCAGGGATTCAATTTCTTCCTGGTTCAGTCTTGGAAAGGTGTACATGTCCTGGAATTTATCTATTTGTTCTAGGTGTTGTAGTTTTTTTGCATAAAGGTGTTCATCATATTCTCTGATGTTTATTTCTATTTCTGAGGAGCCAGTGGTAATATCCCCTTTGTTGTTTCTGATTGTCTTTATTTGGATCTTCTCTCTTTTCCTCTATAATTAGTCTAGCTAGTAGTCCACATTTAAAACAAAACCTACTCCTGGATTCATTAATCTTTTAGTTTTTTTGTGTGTGTCCTAATCTCAGTTTATCTCTGATTTTGGTTATTTCTGTCTTCTTCCAGCTTTGGGGTTGGATAGCTCTTCATTCTCTAGATGTTTTAGTTGTGATATTGAGTGGTTAAATTGAGATCTTTGTTACTTTTTGTGGTGGGTGTTCAGCAACATCAGTTTTTTTCTCAACACTGATTTAGTTGCATCTCAGGGATTCTGGTAGGTTGTGTCTTTGTTCTCATTACTTTCAAATAACTTTTTGATTGATGCCTTAATTTCATTATTCACACAAAAGTCATTCAGGAGTGAGTTATTTAATTTTTATGTAATCATATGGTATTGAGTATTGGTTTTCTCAACTTTTACCTCCAATTTTACTGTACTCTGGTCTCGGAGAGTGGTTGTCATAATTTGAATTCTTTTATAATTTCTGAGAACAGTTTTATGTCGATTAAGTGGTTGATTTTAGAGTATGTGCCATGTGGCAATGAGAACGTATATGTTGTTGTTTTTGGTGGAGAGTTCTGAAGGTGTCTGTTACATCCATTTGATCCAGTGCTGCATTCAGATCTTGAATATCTTGTTAATTTTCTGCCTTAATAATCTAATATTGTCAATGGGTTGTTGAAGTTTTTCACTATAATTGTGTAGGAATCTAAGTCTTTTTAAAGACCTCTAAGAACTTGCTTTATGAATTTGGGTGTTCCTGTGTTGGGTGTGTATATATTTAAAATGTATATATTTAAATTTGAATACATATATTCTTGTTGAATTTAACCCTTTAGCATTTTGTAATGCCTTTTTGCCTTTTTAAATCTTTGTTGTTTTAAAGTCTGTTTGTCTAAAATTTGGGTTGCAACCCATTCTTTCTTCTGTTTTCCATTTGCTTGGTAGATTTTTTATCCCGTCATTTTCAGCCTATGAAACTGATTGCATGTGAAATGAGTCTTGATGACAGCATATCATTGGTTCTTTGTTCTTTATCCAGTTTCCTACTGTTTGCCTTTTAATTGGAACATTCAGCCCATTTACATTCATAGTTAGTGTTGATATGTGTGCATTTGATGCTGCCATTATAATGGTAGATGCTTATTATGCAGACTTGTTTGTGCGTAACTGGTCTGTATACCTCAGTGTGTTTTTTTAGTGGCTAATAATGGTTTTTTCACCTATATTTAGTTCTTCCTTCAGGAGCTCTTGTAAGGCATGTCTTGTAGTAATGAATTTCCTCAGCATTTGCCTGTTTAAAAAGAACTTTATTTCTCCTTTACTTATGAAGCTTAGTTTGGCCAAATACGAGATTGTTGATTGGAATTTATTTTCTTCAAGGAGGTTAAATATTGGTATTGGTCTCTTCTGGCTTGTAGGATTTCTGCTAAAAGGCGTACTTTTACACTGATAATCTTTCCTTTGTGGTTGACCTCCCTTTCCTCTCTAGCTGCATTTGACATTTTTTCTTTTATTTCATGCTTGAACAATCTGATAACTATGTGTTTTGGTGATTATTATATTATGAAGTATCTTACTGGAGTTTTCTGCATTTCCTAAATTTGAATGCTGGCCTCTCTAGCCAGCATTCCCCAGGTTGGGGAAGTTCTCATGAATGATATCCTAAAATATGTTTTTCAAATGGCTTCCATTCTCCCCACCTGTTTCATGAACACCAGTGGGTCATACCTTTGGTCTCTTTACATAATCTTATATTTTTCAGAGGCTTGGGGGTTTTTATTACTCTTTTTTATTTCTGTCTGTATGTCTTACTTCACATAAACAGTCTTCAAACTCTGAGATTCTTCCTTAGCTTTGTCTATTCTACTATTAATAGTTGTGAATTTCTTATAAAAAAATTTAGTGTGATTTTTTTAGCTCTCTCAGGTTAGTTATGCTCTTAATACTGGCTCTTTTGTCTCTCAGCTCCTGTATCATTTCATTATGATTCTTAACGTTTTTGAATTGAGTTTCAAGTTACTTCTGCATTTTAATGATCTTTATTTCTATTCATATTCTGAATTTGATTTCTGTAATTTTAGCTATCTTGGACTGATTTATAACCTTACTGGAGAGGTAGTGTGGCCATTTGAAGGAAAAGAGGAACTCAGGTTTTTTGAGTTGTCAGAGGTTTTGTGCTTGTTCTTTCTTATCTTTCTGGGGTGATATTTCTTTAATATTTGAAGTTGTCAACTTTTGGATTTTTCCTTTTATTCTGCTTGATGACCTTAAGGGTTTAATTGTGTTATAAGGTTGGCTCAGTCGAGTGGTTTTGTGTGTATTCATGCAGGCGAAGGTGGCTGCTCAGGGCTGAGGAGAGTATGCTGTTTTTTGTGCTTAGTTGTACTCAAATGACAGTGTTGACAAAGGAGCAGGATGCTGGTGTTGTGGGGCAGATGGCCTCTGTTTCCCCCAAGATTCTGTCTGCAGTGGTGGTATAGCAGGAGAGGGGGCCTGGAGTACACTCCTACCAACAGCAGTGCCAGGGCAGAATGCATATGCACATGTGCACTGACAGGACAGGGAAAGCAAGATCCTTCCATGCACACACACACACACACACACACACACCAGCATAGTGATGTGTGGGGTGGCAATGGGCCTTGGGGGGAAGCTGCAGTGAGGAGAGGCAGCAGGCAGGCTGATGCCTGGATGGGGTCACCCCACTGGAGCTGTCTACTAGTCAGACATGATCTGCCAGTTCAGGATCTATGATGCAGGCCCCCAGGGTACTCAAGGCTGCACTGCAAGCATGCAGGGCCGAATTGGGGTCGCAGGAGAGGCCAGCACACCAACGCAAGCTCAGGTCAAAGCAGCCCCATCTGATGGGCCACCACCCTGCAGACTTTTTCTCCAAAATTTCCCCTAGGGCTAACGTCTCTTATGGGAGCAAGTTAAGCTTATTGGTGTGGGCATCCCTGGACATGCTTCACTACACATGTTCCCACAATAAACCCTCTTGGCTGTGCACTGGCTGGTGTGCTGCCCCTGTCACTTCTCTAAGCAGCTCTTCCTTTCAACTCATTTTCCATGATGGTCAGAGGGTCTCTGCCAGTGGGATTCCAGAGGCCAGTCAGGAAAGCAGGTAGCTCCTTGCCACTTAAACTCACCTGTTTTTCTCAGAGTCACTGGGTGCCAGAAATCAGTTCCACTGTGCTTTAGCCCTGTGCAGGGTTCCCAGCTTCTGAATCTTAAGTTCAGATGTTGTGTCTTTCCTCCTTCCACTATCAGTACCTGCCCTCGGTTAAGAGTGTGCCAGTCATCCTGGTCCCTTGGTGTCAGCTGTTCCACCTTGGTTTGTCTATTCAGCCATCTTGCTCAAATACACAAAGTCTTATAAATCAATAATAAATAGACAATTGACTACTTGAAAAATGTGCAAGGAATTTGAATGAAAAATTTCTACAGATAAGAAGCAAAATTTGTCATTAAATTTAAAATATATGACATTATTAGTTTAGAGAAATGCAAATCAAAAGCTCAATGACATACTTACTAGAAGACCTGTAAAAGGCAATAAGAAAGGTTGCCAAAGATATCAAAAATATGAAAGCCTCACACATTGTATGTGGGAGTGTAAAAAACAACCGATTTAAAGAACAATTTGGCAATTATTCAAAATGCTATAAATAGTATCACCATATGACTGAGACATTTTACTCTGTTACGTACTCAAAAGAAATGAAAACCTATGACTACACAAAGAATCAGATGTAAATGATCAAAGCAGCAGTATTTATAATAGCCCAAAGGGGATAAAACCAAAATATCCATCAAATAATAACAGAAAAAATAATGTGTGGTGTGTCCATACAATAAAATACTATGTGCCAAACAAAGAAAATGAAGTAATAATACCTGCTATGTCAGGAAAAAACCTCAAAATCACTAAAGTAAGTAAAATAAACCAAATGCAAAAGGGCAGATAATTTATGATTTCACTTAAAATAACTTTTAATAAAAGGCTTATATATAAAAACAGGCTAATGATTGCCTATGACCAGGGTAATGAAATCAGTAAGTACAAAAGAGATTAATTTCTTTTTCCATAGTGATAAGGTTATTTCAAAATTAGATTGTGGTTATGGGTGTCTGTAAATACACTTTAAAAACTTGGAATTGTACACTTAAAACATGTGATGGTTTTGTTATAAAATTATATCCCTCTAAAATGTTTCCAAATGGAACTGTTGACTTTTGGAGAACTAAGTCACAGACTGTAAAACCAAACCCATTTATTGTTCATCTCAAGGCATGTTAAATAAAGAGGAAAAGACAAAGATATAGTTATAACATTAAAATCTTCATGGCAAATAGTTATAAGAAAAAAATTACAATTGTAAAATGTATTAATAGACATAAATTACCTGCTTAGATTTACCAGGCCAGAAATGTAAATTAAATAATAGTACACTATTGAAGACCACTCTGAGTCACTGATTATTAGAAACTTGTTATGATGTCATCATAGGGTTAAAATATTCCTTATCAAAAATGACTCACAGCAAAAATGTTAAATAAAGTGTGTTAGTGGCACCCCTGTCCACAGTTGCTGGTACTTTTAGTGTATGGCCAATTAGAAAGCTGCTCTTTTGTCCCTCATTTGTAACCAATTTCAACACTCAAATTCAATATTGAACTCCTAAATTTATTGATAAAACATGTGAGAAGATGTTTAAATTATATATTTAAAAGATATTATGAAAATAAAAAATCTTAGCAAACATAGGGAGAATTATAAACTAACATTTATCATACATACCCACCACAAGACTTCAGCAATTCTCATATTTTTTATCTTTCATTTTTAATTATCAACTTCAATTATTCTGGTAATATTTTCAAGTAAGCATATTATGTTGTCAGTTTGTAGAAATTTGAGTACCTATATCTAAGAAATAAAGAGAAAAATAAAAATAGTACTATAAAATCTAAGTAAATACAAGTATTTTCTAATATTGTACTAAAGAGTTTCTTGATTTTTTACGTGCAAAACAGTAGAACTTAGCAACCTCCAAGACTTTACGAGAAATAACAATTTAAGACTAATATTTATCCTGGAGACTCAAAGTGACTATAAATAAATATATCTTTAGTTAATAAAGCTTAAAAATAAAGTATTAGTAAAAACACATTTTGAAGATGGCTGACACCTTTGTTACTAGACATGGGGCTTGTGCTGTAAATAACTACTTTAAAAGTCCATGGAAAAGGGATTTTCAACCAAAAAGTCTATAGAAAACAAAAAATTTTGGTTTTTCTGAACTCAGGATGTGAGGCCAGCTTTTAAAGCACGGAATTTAAAAAGCCCTCAAGACCCTAAGCTTGATAAGCAAGTCACCAGCAGGTCTCATTTTTCAGCTCTGTGCACCAGGTGGCATGTCTAGCAAAATGTCCCCTCTCATGTCAGGTTTTTTCTATGAACTCAGAATGACCACTGTCCCTTAGTATGCAGCCCTGCAGTGGACCCAAAAATGACAATCAATCAGGTCCAGAGTTGCTCATTATGGCCTTTCCAGAATGTAATTATCTAAGGACAATTCTCCCCTTGTAAAATTAAGAAAGTATCAGAATATTTGCCTAATTTTTGATAACATCATACTGTGAGCCACAAAAAAAGCAAGAATTTAAAATGTAAGGGATTACCTGGATCCTAGGGCACAGAAATACACCTCAAATAGAACAGTTTCACACACGATTTTATATGTGGACTTCCTGTGTGGAAGAAAAGAATGTGGGGGTCAATAGTAGAGAAGTCTGTATGTAGTGGAATTTTAAGAAATCAGAGAGGCCGATGGGGTTCAGGAGGGTATTTATTAATTATTTAGGTGCACTGGTCCAGTCGGATTAACATCCAAAGAATGAGTCCTGAACAAAGAGTTAAGTTACCTTTTAAGCATTTCATGGGTGGGGAGAGATTTGTGCAGGGAGAATCATACTACAGAAGCAAGAAACAAAGACAGTTATTCAATTGAGACATGCATTACATTATTTCTTACTTTTCAAGGAAAAACCTGTTTTGTGACTTGAATTTATCTGTCTAGTGACCTTGCAGCTTCACAGCTTGGGAAACAGGGTCTTCACAATCCCTGGGAAAGGAGGAGAGATAAGGATCACTAGCCACAGAAAAACAGGCAGTTAGTTTTTAAAGGACTGCAGCTCTTACTCTTTCTCAACAGAAGTTGGGTTTTCTTACACACAAGTGAGTTTCTGCTTACACACTCTTTAATCTCTTATAATTCCTGTTCCATTCTCCCCATTGGTGCTTTTTATAACAGAGGTGTTAATAGAAAGCACCATTATTTGCCAAGTCTTCATGGAGCTGAGCTTTTTCTTCTTCTGGCGGTGGCTGATATCTGGTTAATGCATCAACTGTACAGACTGTACAGTAGTGTTTTGGGCTACCATTGCCTCCATAGTTGACTGAATACTCCTAATAAACAGAGACAAAAGGCAAGGGAGGATAAGGCAGATGCAAAGAATAAGCAAGAACCTACTAATGAGGGTTTAGAATTTTTCAAATGCTGAGAACCATCCTCCAAACAAGGAATCCGGGGACTACCTGGATCAAGTCTGAAGTGGAACCTGGGCCAACTTGTGCATTCTAGCTGTAATTTTTATGACCACTAATATTGATTTCTTGGCTATTGATTTCTAGGCAACAGTTGGTTAAATTAAATTTTCTACATATTCCTCCTTCGGAGGATAAGAGATAATTTAAAGCCAGCCTATTTTGATATATAGCATTTCCTTTTTGTGTTGCTTGTATTGCCAATAAATCTAGTGCCCTCGATATTTCATTGGTTATGATTTGAAGGACTGCCTGCAACTTCATGATGCGGCTGAGGATATAGATTATGGTGCAGTACCCTCATGACCTGTCTTGCACCTAGGTAGCTGGCCCATAGCATGTCATGATTCTTTCAGGAGGTCATTTATTATCTTTTTAGTCTCCTGTGTCCACATCTTTTTTGATATTTTTGTTACTTTTGTGATTATGCTTTTTCTAGTTCTTCTTTTATTTTTATTATAAACTGGATATTCTAAGAATTTCCCTTGCTTTAGAGGAATTAGAAAGAAGGATGGCTTGATTGCTTTTAACAGACACGCCCCTGCCCATTTTGCTGGCAGTTGCCAATATGCCCATGCTCCACAGATCCAATATAGGCCAGAGGGTGCCTTTCAAGCATTTGAATCATCTACCTGATGCCAAGTGCAGCTTAGAGTAAGGAATCCAGAGAAAGTGTTTGGATCTGGTAAGTAGGAGTCATTCTGGGCATTTCTTAATAGAGTTTTGTTTTTAGTCTCGTAATAATACTGTTGCCCTAGGCAGGTTGTTTTTCCTACTGCCTCTGTGAAAGCCTTTCCCCATCGAGTGATACAGTACTTTCCAGTTATGGAGATTTTTAACAATCAAACACTGGCTGAGGCTGTTGGTTCACTGGCAGGGTTAAGCAAAGTGAAGTTATCTTGTGGCATTAATTCCTTTGCCTCCCATTGCCACTCATTCTCCATATTAGTTTCTCTACATACATAGCATGAAGAAATTTTTAAGCTGCCATCTGTGTTTTCAGCTAGTTGAGCAAATAAGTTTTTGGTTGATGGGGGAACCTCGGGCACTGGCTGATCAAAATGCTTACAGAATGACTTGGTATTGAGGGGTTGGATGCATTTGAGTCCTTATAGTATTTTTGACAATTAGTAGTGGAACTCCAAGACCTGCTCCTTGTCTATCAACTGGTAATAGTGCTGTCTGTCCTGTAGACCAAAAAGGTAGCTCTGGCTTTAAGATAGTAAAATTTAAAGGATCGCATGTCCTTGTCTTACAATCTGGTTTTTAGGATTATGAACATACGTGGCATGGCAGTCATCAAAGAAGAAATAGGCCCTTTTTAGAAGGGTGGGATTTCTTTGGTTTGAGCTATAAGCTTTCCTTCTGTTTCTCCCTCTGATTTAATATTTACCTCAAAATAGAATTAATAGGGTAAGAGCCCAGGCTCATAACATACATATAGCTGATTATTTCCTCAGTCACAGACTGAATAGGTGGTCTGGTTGTATATGCATATTCCTAATTTGCTTCCTGTACATTCATAGTAGGTATGGTACAGTAGAGTTTTAACTGTGGTATTTTTTATCCAGGTAATGTGTACACAGCATGGACATCCTTCAAGAGATTTATCCCCTTTCAGTATAAGCATAAATGGTAACAACATTGTTGTATGTAATAGAAACATGCTTACACTACACATGGGCACAAAAACTTTCCTCTGGGCATAGACATTTGCAGCATTTGCAGTAATAACATAACAACGGAACAATCAGTATTGACAGAATTGTAACTATGGTTATAAATTGTATTCACATTTACTTATCTGGACATGGTCCTCTTAGCTTCGGCTGTGTGTACACTAGTCAGCTTCTGGGATGTGACTAGAGCAGAGTTTGAAGAATCCTTAAGCTTCAGCCATGCTTAGACTGACCAGCCTCCAGTGTGGTCAGAGCAGGGCGGTTGTCCTTTTTACCGGTGGCTGAGATTTGCCATAGGGCTATTCGAGTGGGGCAATCTGGGTCTTGTTGGCTAATCCACAGGTTGTCATCAGGACTCGCTACTGTCACTGGTTTTAGATGGCTATGGTGAATCCAAGGTGTGGCACCTGCAACTTTAACAGCAGTGGGAGTAGACATGATTACAATATGGCGCCTATCGTATATGGGTCCTAGAGTGGTTGAATTCCATTTTTTACCTAAACGAAGTCCCTAGGTTTGAAAGGGTGTACTGCGTCTGTTAGACTTACAGGCATTTTTTTACATACTTAACCATGCATTTTAGTATAGCCATACTTAAAGCCTGCATTTGCCTTCTTAAAGTTAGTTTTCCCAATTTACAGAGATTACCCTGAATCTGATTTTTCTGGGGGGTGGGCAGCTGAACAAAATCTCAGAGGGCGAATACTCAGTTTTTTGGTGGGGGTGCACCTGACTCATAAGAGGACCATGGGCAAGACCTGATATTACTTCAGATGAGTTTTTCGACAAAATTTCTTCAACAGCTGCTTGAGTGTCCAGTTTATGCTCTCCACTTTACCTGAGATCTGCTACCTGTAGGCTGTATGTTATTTCCATTTTATTTTTAATAGTCGAGTTAAGTCCTGAACTATTTTAGCCACAAATGTTGGTCCATTCTCTGATCTTAGAGTTAGAGGCAGCCCAAATCTGGGAACAATGTCTCTTAACGCCTTGGTCATGTCTAGTGCCCTCTCTGTCCTGGTGGGAAAGGCCTTGAGCTATCCTGAAAAGGTGCAAATGAACACCAATATGTACTGATAGCCCCCGTCTCAGGGTCATTCAGTGAAGTCCATAAGCAGATTTTCACAGGGCATGGCTCCTTTTTCCTGAACTCCCATGGGCCGAGTAGGATCTTGTCGTGGATTGTTCTGAGTGTAAGTTAAACACAGTTTACAAATGGCCCGAGTAATAGCAATGAGCCATGGCAGATAAAAATGATGCCTTAATAATGTCTTTATTTTTTTTTTAATCTGAGTTCGGTGGTGGAATTGTTTTACAAATCTGGGGGTCACCATTTCAGGTATGGCTAGCCTCCCATTGAAGAATTTGTATTATCCTCTTTCAATGTAGTTCTTATTTTCCTGGGGAAGCCAAGCTCTGTTATTTGGAGTGAAGATTGGGATCTCCAGGAGGGGAATCTCCGGGAGGAGAGGCATAGCTAAGGCATCTTCTTTAGGTGGAGTTGTCATTGCAGCCTTCTTTGCCTCTTTGCCTTCGTATCTTTTTTAGCCCTTAGTGTTCTTGCTTTTTGCTGCCTCTTGCAGGACTTCACTACCGTCACTTTTGGGGCCCATACAGCGTTTAAGAGCTGTAGGATTTCTTCCTTGTACTTTATTTCTTTGTTTCCAGCAGTTAAAAGTCTTCTTTTTTTCTTTGTAAATAACCTTATGAACATGCAAAGTGGCAGAAGCATATTTGGAACCTGTATAAATATTGGTCTTTTGGTCTTTTGCTAGCCAGAGAACTCTTGTCAGAGCTCTTAGTTCTGCTTTCTAATCAGAAGTTTCTGTAGATGAAGACTGCACCTCTACTGTTGAGTCTAAAGTCACCACTGCATACGCAGCTTGGCGGGCTCCTTTTAGTATGAAACTGCTTCCATCAGTAGAATATTCAATGTTTGGGTCCCTGAGGGACTGATCTGTCAAATCTCTCTGGCTTGAGAACACTTCATCTACCACGTCCACACCACAATGAAACGGTCCTCCTGGCACTGACTCGATGAGAGTAAGGTAGCCGGATTTAGGGTATTCACAGTCTCTAAAGTTAGTTTACTAGCTTCCTGCACCAGTACGGTAGTGGCTGCTAGTGCTTTAAGACAAGGAGGCCATCCAAGTGCAACAGAATCTAATTGCCTGGATAAATATGCCACCAGGCGATGCCATGACCTTATGGCTTGAGTCAGAACCCCTATGGCCTCCCTTTCACTTGTGCACATACAAGAAGAAAAGCTTGATTAGTTAGATCTGGCAGTCCTAAAGCTGGGGCCTGAGTCAAGGCTTCTTTGATTTCTTTAAAATCCTTCTCCTCTTTGGCTTCCTAGAGGAGGGGCTCCTTTTTTCCTCCTCTTAGTGGCTTGGTATGATGGCTTGACCATGAGCAAGAAATTTGGGTTGTAAACGCGGCAGAACCTTGCTGCTCTTAGAAACTCTCTTACTTGACACCGGGTGGTTGGAGTAGAAAGTGCACAAACAGCCTGCATTTTTTCAGGACTAAGCCATCTTTCCTCTTGGCTTATATAAAAGCTTAAATATTGACACTTTTAGAGGAGATTTGAGCTTTTTTCTGACACTTTTTATTCTGCCTTCTACAGCAGGTGCAGTGGTTCTTGGGTTTCTTCTGCGTGTAGTAGCCCTTGGCTGGTGTGTGTGTGTGATTTTTTGGTTCTGTTTTTTTGGGTTTTTTTTGTTTGTTTTTTGTTTCTTTTACTATTGCCCTGATCATTTTCATTATTTCTTTGACATTTATGCTTCCAGTGTCTTTCCTTTTGCACCATGCACATTAATCTCTCTCTAGCCTCGGCTGGCCTTCACACTCCTGTCCAGACTAGCCTTTTTCATGACTACGTTCACGCCCGCGTCCATGCCTCCTTGTAAAGCCAGCTCCTCTTCCCGGAAGGGCTGCTGCTAGTAAGTTAGCCTTTCTTAAGCCTGTGATCAGCCTTTTCCTTTGCCTCCTCATCTCGGTTAATGAACACCTTGGTTGTCACTTTAATAAGCTGAGTAGCATTCTCGCCTACGGAGCTTGTAACTTCTGCAATTTATGCCTGATATCTCCTTGGGTCTGCCTTACAAGTGCTGGATTCACCCTGCACTGATTTTTGAGTAGCCTCAGGGTTAAACGGAGTGTACAATAAAAATGCCTCACAAAGTCTTTCATAGAACTTGCTGTGCTTTTATCTGCACCCTGAAGCATGTCTGAGATTTTTTAAAATATTGATTGCCTTTTTCTTTTACCATCCTTTAGCCTTTGCAGATGGGCTTCTCGGCACCTTTGCAGGTGCTGAATCTGGACTGCATCATCTGGGTCTTAGTGGGGGTCCTCCTGTCCTCTTAAGAGGCATGAGCATATCTTATGCACGACCAGACCTGAGACGGCCTGCCTGATTTTCGCTCTCATTTCACCTTCTCGGGTGAGACTGGCAGCATGTATCCATTTGAACTTAACTCCTTAGGGACAGTTACCTTGGTAAAGGGGGTAGATTGGAATGTAAGGAGGAGCGGTCTCTATTCTTTTCTGTGGTTGTGACAAAACCGGTTTTTCTGCCTTTTCTGAGATTTTTTCATTTGTCTTCAGTTGCTGGGGCAGCTGATTTTACTTTCACTTTTGGCTGGGAGGTGCTACAAGCCTCTGTGTCTCCTTTTAACTCTGTAGCTGCCAGAGCAGCTGATTTTCTCTTGCCGTGAGCTGCGAGCATTCTACAGTAAACTGCTAGGCAGGGCTGCATTCATTTAGCCATGAGTCAATATAAAGACTAGGTCTGAATGTCCTGGCTGTTCTCTGACCCTAGTCACCACCTTAAAACACACGGCCAATTTTTCTATAGTGCCTTTGGCAAGCCATCTGACACTAAAACAGGGCTATTCTAATTCACAGTATGTCCTTAACTTTTGAACACTCAGTTTCATCCTATAATCACCTCTAACTCTTTTTTTAAAATTCTTTATTATGCTTTTCAAAGGAGCCACTTTTGATGTTTTCACTCTCATTTCCTCTCTTGCAGTTCACTTTCACTCTGACTTTCACTCTTGAGTCCACCAGACCTGGTCCTATTGCGGGAGTTTCAGATGCTGCTTAGCCAGGACCATGCCTTCCCCTGTCGCAGACTGCTGCAGCTGTAAAGCTGGTACTATCAGCCATATGAAGCATCTTAGGTCTGATTTTCCCCACATTCGCCTCAGAGCACACAGCCACCACTAAGGGATCTGTGCCTCCCCATGTCGCTGCCCACATTGGCCTCTCCCAATGTAACAGGAAGAGCGGCAGACAAAACCCCTTGGACACTGAGTTAAAGAAAGAAGGTGTTTATTCACCTGGGAGCTTCAGCAAGACTTCTTTCCCAAGAGCTGAACCCTCCGAGTGAGCAATTCCTGTCCCTTTTAAGGGCTCACAACTCTAAGGGGGTCCGCATGAGAGGGTCACGATCTATTGAGCAAGCAGTGGGTATGTGACTGGGGGCTGCATACACTGGTAATTAGAAAGGTACTGAACAGGACAGGGATCTTCACAGTGCATTTTTTATGCAAATAACCGATTAGGTCAGGGGTTGACCTTTAACTACCAGGCCCAGGGTGTGGCGCTGGGCTGTCTGCTTGTGGATTTCATTTCTGCCTTCTAGTTTTTACTTCTTCTTTCTTTGGAGGCAGAAATTGGGTATAAGACAATATGAGGTTTGGTCTCCTCCCTTATTTTCCCCCTTTGAGACTCTCACTCATTTTATTAGTGGGAGTTCTCACCTTCTTCCTCACTACCTATGTCTTCCTCTATCACAGATTGATAGTGATTCATGTAGTACACTCGTGCTGAAGCGTTCTGGTGAACTAGAGTTGCCATGAAAACTTTTACCACTTGAATGAGTACAGCTAGTAAGCAAGAGATCAGTAAGCAGGTTCCTATTACTACTATAGTTTCCATTATAAGAGTTTTAAATCCTTCTAGTGCCGGGAACCATTTTCAAACATGGCCTCAGTGTCAAATCGGTGCCACACTTGTACTGGCACATGTGCCAGTTTCATCATGTCTTTAACTATATCTTCGACTACTTGCCCCTGATCATCTATGTGCAGACAGCAAGTGGGCCTAATTACAGTCACTAAATTGGGCCTAATTACAGTCATAATCAATTTACTAAAATAACGAGACAGCAAGACAGGTTTCCAAACATTGGCAAATGTTTCAGGGAGAAAAAAATGCCCCACTAGAGAAGCATGGTTGTATCTCTGTGTGTACATACACACGGGGCCAGGCAGTTCTATGCATGATAGTCTGGGACTGTAAAAGTGACTATGCAAACCTTTACATTCTGTCACAGAACTTACAATTTAAAGTGAGCATCTTTTTCTGTGACTTAGAAATTGACTTTTTTTTTTTTAGTTGGGAGCCACTTTTAGCAATTTTCCCTTTGTTGATACATAATAATAGTATATATTTGTGGTGCATGAGTGATATTTTGATACATGCATGCAATGTACAGTGATCAAATCAGGGTAATTAGAATATCCATCACCTCAAACATGGATATTATTTTCTTTGTGTTTGAAAAATTTCCTTTGTGTTGGGAGAATTTAAAGCCATCTCTTCTATCTATTTTAAAATATATTAAAAATTAGTGCTAACTGTAGTTATCCTACTGTGCTGTCAGACACTAGAAATTATTCCTCCTATGATAAAAAGTTTAGGCTGTATCCCATGGGTAGTAGGACACCACATGACTGAGTGGTCATCTGGGAAATTATCTGGATGACTTTGGAACGTTCCTGGTTGAGCCAGGTGGCTGTTGCAACAAACTGTGGGGAAGCCCCTCCCCTAATGCCCCCTAAGCCAGCTGTCACTACATGGCAGGAAACCTCCAAACCTGAGGGCCCCAGGAAACAATGACAGTCCCCACTCACATGCAACTTGTGCTGTGCTCAGTGCCCTCCACATTGAGCCTGATCTAGCTTTACCCGAGGGCTGTGAGGTGGCACAATCAGTATCCCTTTATTTTAAAAGGCTCAGTGAAGTTTTGGGCTTAATGTGAGTGAAGTGATCCTAAAAGCTGACTCTGGGATCCCGGCTCCACCACTGACCAGTCCTGCAGGTGTCGAGAGTTGCCTCTCCTCCCCTCGATTTCATTTTGTCCTCTGTGAAGTGCAGCCGTGCTGATGACTCACATATCAGGGATACATGGGAACTGTCAATGAACAGAGTGCTCTACACAGTGCCTGGAGCTCAGAATGCAGATGAGGGAGGAGGGTGAGCCATAATTCTGAGGGAAGTCCCAACATAATTTAGCCCTTCCATCTAGTAGCCGGGCCCCAGTACAGAGTCCTATGTCAGTGACAGGGCAAACTGAGACCAGCTCAAACACAGCCTCTTCCTCAGCAGCAGGGCCCAACTAAGGAACTTGGTGTTTTGGTTCATTTCCTGCAGCTTCAATGTAAAGAATATTGTGAGACATTTGCTGGAACAACTGAAAATCAGAAGAAGAAGAGACAGCTCTTCTCCATCTCCCTGAGAGCTCTTCCCCAGAATGTGTTTATCCAGAGAGGAGGGGAAATATTTATTTTTCGTAAATAGTAAATGCTAGAGTCGAATATTATATGAAAATCTCATTCTACTACAAAATCGGAGTTGTGGTTGTGGTTCTTTTTATTTCACTTGTGTAAGCTTAAATGAGATACAGACTCTAACATTTCTCCTTGAATTATGAAATCCTAAAGAGTCGGCAGCATAATGTATGAGGAAGAAGAGAAAAGCAGTCATAGTTTCTGGCTGCCGGATAAGACACCCAGGTCCATTTTTCTCAGAGCATATGTTCATTTTAATATTAACCCAAGGAAAGAGTGAAGATAGATCATTCGAACTTGCAGAATTAATAATTTGAAGGTATTTTCACAAAGCATAGCGACAGTCTTGGAAATATAGATTTCTTTAAAAAGCAGTTGCAGAGATCAGGAGGATGAATACCTTTCTATGATTTTACAAAAAATAAATCAACTTCTGCTTCACTTGCTGAGGTTTCCTCTAAGCAACTATTAGGACATTGTTGTTTTTTCTTCCAACTCTGGAGTTGCATCAGGTCTATGTGGAAAAAAACATTATAAAATAAAATGACCAAAGTCAAAAGGAGAAGGCCAGGGAAAGTCTATTGACAATGGATGCAGGGCAGAAAGGAAGCTGCATTCTCAATCTTCTTCTGGTGTCCTGTGATTGAGCCTTTACCTTAGATGTAAATCCTCCCAGAGTTTTGTCTCTTACCTTAGAATTTCTATTCTTTTTTTAAGTTAGTTTCTTATCTAGAATGAAAGAATTGTAATGCCACTTTATGGCTACACCTGGGCCTTATTCTGTAAATATTTTTACTACCTATGAGGTAAAATTCCCAGCATTAGGGCAATTCTTTATCCAATTTTTTCTTTCTGAGACAGAGTCTTGCTGTGTCACCCAGGCTGGAGTACATTGGTACAATCTTGGCTCACTGCGATCTCCACCTCCTGGGTTCAAGAGATTCTGCTGCCTCAGGCTTCTGTGTAGCTGAGATTACAGGCACCCAGCTTCATGTCCAGCTAATTTTTGTACGTTTAGTATGTTTAGTAAATTTTGTATTTTTAGTTTCACTATGTTTGTCAGGCTGGTCTTGAACTCCTGACCTCCAATAATCTGCCCGCCTTGGCCTTCCAAAGTGCTGGAATTACAGGTGTGAACCAATTCTTTTTGAGGAATAAATTACCTAAAGGTCCTCAAGCCTTTCTGTCAGGCATATCTTGGCCTTTTCTCTCTGACTGGGGTCCGATGAATCACAGGTGGGCACTATTTTTCTATATTCCCAACCAGTGATAATCCTTGCGCTCTTTATTTCTAATTAAAAGAAATCCAAAATGGAGATAGTTATTTGAGAGGTCTCTAAAGACAACTAGGAGGACATGAGGAGTTGAATTAATACTCATACACACCCAGGTGGAATTTTACCTGTTCGAACTGGGAAAATTACAGATGTCCTAAAAAGGCAACTGCATTTGACTTGGATTGTTTATACTGAGCCTGATCACAAACCTCCTGAAGAGAAAGCTGTGCTGAATTAAGCTGATGATTGCCTAGATACAGTCTAAGCTGGCAATCAAACATTGTCCATCATAGACTGTGCTAAAATCTTTCACTTGTGTAAACTTGCAGTAAAACTTTATAAGTCCCTCCCTAACCTCATCTGAATGGAACATGATATAGCTTCTTGCTAAATTTGTGTCTCCCAAATAGCAATTTATAAAAAATCATGATTAAAATGCCTTTTATTTTATTTTCCACAGGGTCTGTTTTACTCCCATGTTATAAAATGCTTTTCTCAAGAAAGCATAGAGCCCATTCTCTTCTCTAGAGAGAATCGCAGCCTTGCAAAAGAGACAACTAAAAATACATACATATAAGTAGCAAGAATTTAAAACTCAAAATATTAAATATGTTACAAAAGTATACAAGCAATAGAATAAATAGGATGAATAGCAAAATGGATAAAATCAACTGTGAGTTGAAAGCCTGAAAGTTCAGGTGAAGGTGTTGAAAATGCTTCAGAAAAAACTAAGGAGATAAATATTTATAAAAATAAAGAGCTGGGCTCAGTGGCTCACACTTGAAATTTCAGCTGCTAGGGATGCTGAGGCCAGAGGATCAATTAAGGCCAGAAGTTTGAGACAAGCCTAAGCAAGACCTTGTCACTGAAAATGTTTTAAAAATTATTTTGACATTATAGCATGTAACTGTGGTCTCAACTACTTAGAAGGCTGAGGCAGGAGGATTACTTGAACTCAGGAAGTTGAGGTTACAGTGAACTATAATCATGCTACCGTACTCCAGCCTGGAGTGAGGCAAAATCTAGTCACATTAAAATAAAATAAAACAAAATAAAATAAATTAAAATAAAATAAAATATAATCTAGTCACGTTAAAATAAAGTACAATTATCAAGGACAAAAATAAAATTGTACAACTTGGCAATAGAAAAAAAATAGAGCATAGAGCAACTGGGGGAAAGGGGGTTGAAAGTATAATTTCCTTTTTATTTCCTTAGTTGGTCATTACTTAGACTTTTTCACTTAATTAAAATTTTCTTATACTTTGGTGCCCAGTTAACCCCAGAGCATTTTTAATTAATTGGTTTAGAGGTAGATACTCATATAAGCTTTCCACTGCAAATTACAAGAGCCAAATTTTAAATAAATGTTGGACCTCTAAATTTTCTATTTGCAATATTTAAGGAAATAAAAATTATAAAAAACACTTTGTAAAACATTTAGTATGTAACTGCTGTTTCTAACGTATAATAAATCCAATTATGGCAGAGACTCACTCTGTTGTTGAGAATCTCTCCATTATATGACTGCTGCTTGTGGTGCTTAAACCTCAGGAAGAAAGAATATATGAATGTCTGAACATTGCTTTAAAAAGACAATGTACATTTAATGTAGAGATATGTGACCAGCTTAGAAAGCTGCACTTTTTCCACAGCAGGCAAACCAGAGCCTGGATACCCCAGGGTCACAGCTCATGAGAACATAGGGCTGGACTGTGAGAAAACAAGAAGCAATTAGTGCAGAGGAGTTGACAAGACACCAACTGGGCTGAGAAAAAAGAGCTGATAGATTAATTTCCAAATTATACTACAAAACATACAATAAGCAGACCCCATAGCTTTATACATTAAAACCAAATGATGACAAAGAGTGAGGATTGCATTAAATTAAATTAGGAGCAACTAAAGACTGGTTTATGATCTTGAAACTTTAGTCACTCTCCATAGTTCCATCCCATGACCCGGTAATTATTTCCTGCTTTCTGCATGCCTTGGACACTGGTCCATTTCTGGCCCCAAAGTGTTCCTTTTTCTAATAGGAGTACTTACTTCATCTCTTAATACAATTCCTTTCCTTGCATACTGTGCCCCAAAGAAGAAATATTAAAAACTTTCCTGATGTTTTTCTGCTGCGGGGTTAATGGGCTCAGAGTGATGATAAGAACGGCCAATGAGTGTGTGGAGCCAGATAGTGCTTAAAATATGGACTTCAGTCCAGTGAAGTCTAACAAGATTGGCACCTGAGCACTCTTCTCTGAGACCTGAGGATGGACTCACTGAACCTGGAGCTACTAACGCAGCTGATACCCACATATATACACCACCTGTGTTCCTAGAAACTGGCCTTCCCAGCCCATCACAGCAAACACCAACACCAGCATGGAACGCTTGGGAGTCAGAGGTTTTTCTTGTCGTTGCTACTGCCATCATCCATGCCATAACCACTGTCCAGGGGCTCAAGAAGCTGCCCACCCACCTTGCTCACTGCTGACACCTGAGCAAATCACATGAAGGCCAAATAATTAGTCTTCCTGGACCTGTTAACACTGCTGCCAGCATAACTGCCTTGAGACCCAAAAGCAGGCATGGTAAGCTCACCACTGCCATCACTGGGATCCAATGACTAAACCTCTGGTGCCCCTATTCCCAGCAAAACTTTACCACAGCCTCTGCTAAAAACGATACCCTAAGCCGCTGAGAAAGGTACAGACACCACTGATACTCTTTAGAGCCAAAGAAATCATATAAAGACAGGCCGGGTATTGTGGCTCATGCCTGTAATTCCAGCACTTTGGGAGGCCAAGGCCAGTGGCTCGCTTGAGGCTAAGAGTATGATACCAACCTGGGGAACATGGCAAAACCCTGACTCTACTAAAAACACACAAATTTGCTGGGCATAGTGGTAGGCACCTGTAATCCCAGCTACTTGGGAGACTGAGGCACGAGAATCGCCTGAACTCAGAGGTGGAGCCTACAGTGAGCCGAGATAGTGCCACTACACTCCATCCTGGGCAACAGAGCAAGGTTCTATCTTAAAATATATACACATACAGAGTTTAAAGTCTGTGCTCTCCTCTCCTCAGCTGCCTTGTGACTGTGTAAGTGTATGTTTGGGAAGGGAGGGATAGGATGAGGACAGGCCAGCAGAGAGTCACCAGCACTGGCTAAAGGTCTCAGACCAAATTTTATACTCTTGACCAGGAGAAACTTCTCTGTTATTCTAATCACATTAAACTCAAGCATTTTCTTTTTTTCTTTCTTTTTTTGAGAAATCACATCGAACTTCCAAAATTATAAAGTTGAAAATATGTAATAATTGACAATTGGAAACAAGAAAGAGGATTAGCTATAAAAATAACTCAGGACAATGTATTTATCATGAAAAGATGGTCTTGGTGGAAGAAAGTTTCATGCCCAGCCAGCCCATTCTTCAATATCTGCTAAAAAAAAAAAGAGCAAAGGGAACTTAAAGACATCATAGACTTGGAAATTTCGTCTCACAGTGCATTAAATTCCCAAATCACATGTGGAAGAGAAGAAGCTGCTGCATATTAGACTAACTAGTTTTACTGAATGTTGTCTGTTGATTTAAAAATTAATACTCTTATCAAGAGCAAATTGAAATACTGAAAGTTATTTACTAAACAGCAAAGAATATTTTCAGTATATAAAAAGATTTAAAAAAACGTTGACACCTTAACTAAATCTGACACAAATTTAAAAGGAAAAGTAACTAGAAAATGAAAGAAGCGTCGTACAAGTATGCGATGCACCCTCTGTTGCACCAACTGCTCCTGTTTGTTGAGTCCCCTCTTCTATTCTGCCTCCTCCATCTCCTTGCTGATTCCCCTTTTTGTCTATTTTAATTTCTCTCTCTATTCCTTTCTCAGGTCACCATGTCACATTCCTTTTGTGTCTTTTGATGTCCAATCTCACCGACACCACCTTCATTCTCTATTTTATCTTTACAAATGGTTAATTAGGCATAAAGAGGGAAAACACTCCTGGGAAGATACCTGAATCCTGGTGCACACTATCATTATCACTGTTTTTCATGTTGATGCTCATGTGTCTCTGCTTTCTCGACAGACTATTTAATCAGCAGACAGATCAACAGGCCAAAATTTCCACCATAGTTGCAAATTTGAATGCGGATGAATGGATTAAAACACATTCAAGTCTTGCAATGAACGGCATAATGTATGGTGGTATAATTCAGAGTGGTTACAGGGGAGAGTTAAAGATCATTTTATACAATGTCACTCGAGAATCTTTTGCTGTAAAACTGCAGATGTGGGTTCCTCAATTTTTAGTGGTACCTTGTCAACAATTAACCCCTGAGGATGTCTCTGCCCCAACAGAGGCTACATACAGAACTGGGAGATTCAGACGCACTGGTACACGTAGCTTAAATCCTGGAGCCAAAATATGAGTACAGCGTCCATCACATCCTACTCCTATGGCTGGTGAACTTGTAGCTATGGGAGAAGAAACTGAAGGCATAGTACAGTTTCCTAAAGATGAAAAACAATATTATGTTCCCCTCTGTTTTGGTTATTACAGAGAATAACCTGTTTACTAATGGTCAGTACCTGTGTCTCTGTGTCTGATGCCAAGAATAAATTCATCATCTGCATAGCCACCACTGCAACAGAAGCCAACTGCAGTCAATGTTGGCTATGCGTGGAATTGCCAGAGGCCACCAAAAATGGGCTACGTTGGAGAATCGTCCCTGTACCTTACTGCATACCGAATGTTGTGTGTATATCCCTGACAATTGTCACACTACGACTCTCCTTGCACAGCCATGGTGGGTGTGGTTTTCATTAACTGTGCTTTTAATTCTCCTGTGCTTACCCTGAGTCTGTAATCTGTATCAACTATGCTTTCCCCAAGTATCTGTAAGGGTATTTTCCTACAATTGAGTATCAAATTGAAGCCAAATTTGGAAGAAAAGTTAAATATTCAATTTTATCTCAATTGAACATGGACACAAACAATGGTCACCAAGTCCCGGAACAGGTTCTGTGAGTTTCTTCAGGCGTTCATCCACCAGTGTCTCAGAGAAATTTCTATTTTAATCTGTTCCTGTATGTTAGTTATTGAAAAACAACAGACAATCGCCAAAAATTTGACATTTTTGTGGTTTTTGAGCCCAGTAGTGAAGAGTCCTCGTTACCCGGCCTTATGCCAAAGAACTCCTTACAAAAAGAGCTAGGGTCCCAGATGGCACTAGAGCTTCCTGAGACCTCTCCTCATCTCTGCAGGGATGAGGGGCCAACTCTGTAGCCCAGGCTGTTGCTTCCCGGTCTGTTGATGAATCCTCCATAGTCTGGTGAGTGTAGTGTCTGACTCTGGAGCCCAGGCTATTGCTTCTCTGTCTGGTGATGCTTCCTCCATACTCTGTAGTCTGCTGTGTGTAAACATATGTATATATATATATACATATATATGTATATAATTTATACATATAACTGTAAATAAAAATAATTGTATAATGTACATAATTATTTAAATAAATAAATGTAAATAAATACATATATAATTTTATATATATTATATATATTTATATATATAAAAATATATATATTTTTTCCCTTCTCATATCAATTTGCTTATCATATCATTTACTTATTATATCTGTATTGCCATATAATTGAGACAAAAGATGTTTACCCTTAAAAGTATTGTGTGTGCCTTTTCTTCTTCCTCATGCATCTCCCATGCAGAACACATGCCTGACAAATTTTTATATTTTTAGTGGAGACTGGGTTTAGCCATGTTGGCCAGGCTGATCTCAAACTCCTGACCTCAGGTGATCCTTCCATCTCGGCATCCCAAAGTGCTGAGATTATAGGCATGAAACACCCAGCCAGGAGGAGGCATTTCTACAAAGAAAACATACAAATGGCAAACAGGCATATAAATGTTGCTAAACATCATTAAACCTCAGAGAAATGCAAATCAGAACTACAATAAGATATTATCTCACTCCAGTTAAAATGTCTTATATCCCAAAGACAGACAATAACAAGTGCTGACGAGGATGTGGAGAAAACTTTAGTGCACTCTTGGTGGGAATGTAAATTAGTATAACCACTATAAAAAAGTGTGGAGGTTCCTCAAAAAGCTAAAAATTGAGCTGCCACAGCTACAATGCAACCCAACAATCCCAGTGATGGGCATTGACACAAAAGAAAGAAAATCGGCTTGTTGCTGCACTGTTTACAATAGTTAAGATTTGAAAGCAAACTGTCTACAAATGAATGAATGTATAAAAAAAGTAGTACATATATACATTGGAGTAGTATTCAGCCATAAAAATGAGATTTTGTCTTTTACGACAACATGGATAAAAGAGAAGAGTATGTTAAGTGAAATAAGCCAGGCACAGAAAGATAAACACTGTGCGTTCTCACTTATTCGTGGGATGGAAGAATTAATACAACTGAATTCACGGACATAGAGAGCAGAAGGATGGTTTTCAGAGGCTAAGAAAGACAGTGGAGGCTGGGGGAAAGGTGGGGACTGTTAATGTGTACAAAAAAATAGAATAAATAAGACATATTATTTGATAGCACAACGAGATGACTCTGGTCAATAATAATGTAATTGTGCATTTTAAACTAGCTAAGAAGGAATAATCAGATTTTAACCCAAAGAATAAATGCTTGAGTGGGTGGATATCCCATTCTCTATGATGTGATTATTATGCATTGCGAGACCGCATCAAAACATCTCATGAACCCCATAAGTATATACACCTACAATGCATCCTCAAAAATTACAAATTAACTGAAGTAAATAAAATAAAACTATTTAAAAATAAAATATCATAACATTAACTAGCCCCAGAAATATAAGATTTTAATGAAATAAAAATGCCTCTATAATAATCAAACAGTGAGAAGAAAGTCACACTTTACTCCTATTTTTGTTTCTGATCTATCTTCTATCTAGTTTCAAGTTGTAGAATTTTCTTTTTTCATTTCTAATTAAATTTTATTTTATTTTATTTTTTTATTATACTTTAACTTTTACGGTACATGCGCACAACATGCAGGTTTGTTACATATGTATACATGTGCCATGTTGGTGTGCTGCACCCAGTAACTCGCCATTTAACATTAGGTATATCTCCAAATGCTATCCGTCCCCCCTCACCCTACCCCACAACAGGCCCCGGAGTGTGATGTTCCCCTTCTTCTGCCCATATGTTCTCTTTGGTCAATTCCCACCTATGAGCGAGAACATGCGGTGTTTGGTGTTTTGTGCTTGGATAGTTTGCTCAGAATGATGGTTCCAGCTTCATCCATGTCCCTATAAAGGACATGAACTCTTCATTTTTTATGGCTGCATTTTGTTCCATGGTGTATATGTGCCACATTTTCTTAATCCAGTCTATCATTGTTGGACATTTGGGTTGGTTCCAAGTCTTCGCTATTGTGAACAGTGCCGCAATAAACATACTTGTGCTTGTGCCTTTATAGCAGCATGATTTATACTCCCTTGGGTGTATACCCAGTAATGGGATGGCTGGGTCAAATAGTATTTCTAGTTCTAGAGCCCTGAGGAATCGCCACACTGACTTCCACAATGGTTGAACTAGTTTACAGTCCCACCAACCGTGTAAAAGTGTTTCTATTTCTCCACATCCTCTCCAGCACCTGTTGTTTCCTGATTTTTTAATGATCGCCATTCTAAGTGGTGTGAGATGGTATCTCATTGTGGTTTTGATTTGCATTTCTCTGATGGCCAGTGACGATGAGCATTTTTCCATGTGTCTTTTTGCTGCATAAATGTCTTCTTTTGAGAAGGGTCTTCATATCCTTCACCCACTTTTTGATGGGGTTGTTTTTTTCTTGTAAATTTGTTTGAGTTCATTGTAGATTCTGGATATTAGCCCTTCGTCAGATGAGTAGATGGCACAAACTTTCTCCCATTCTGTAGGTTGCCTGTTCAGTCTGATGGTAGTTTCTTTTGCTGTGCAGAAGCTCCTTAGTTTAATTAGATCCCATTTGTCAATTTTGGCTTTTGTTGCCATTGCTTTTGGTGTTCTAGACATGAAGTCCTTCCCCATGCCTATGTCCTGAATGGTATTGCCTAGGTTTTCTTCTAGGGTTTTTACGGTTTTAGGTCTAACATTTAAGTCTTGAATCCATCTTGAATTAATTTTTGTATAAGGTGCAAGGAAGGGATCCAGTTTCAGCTTTCTACATACGGCTAGCCAGTTTTCCCAGCACCATTTATTAACTAGGGAATCATTTCCCCATTTCTTGTGTTTGTCAGGTTTGTCAAAGATCAGATGGTTGTAGATATGTGGCATTATTTCTCAGGGCTCTGTTCTGTTCCATTGGTCTATATCTCTGTTTTGGTACAAGTACAATGCTGTTTTGGTCACTGTAGCCTTGTAGTATAGTTTGATGTCAGGTAGCGTGATGGCTCCAGCTTTGTTCTTTTGGTTTAGGATTGACTTGGCAATGAGGGCTCTTTTTTAGTTCCTTATGAACTTTAAAGTAGTTTTTTTCTAATTCTGTGAAGAAAGTCTTTGGTAGCTTGATGGGGATGGCATTGAATCTATAAATTACCTTGGGCAGTATGGCCATTTTCACGATATTGATTATTCCTACCCATGAGCATGGAATGTTCTTCCATTTGTTTGTATCCTCTTTTATTTCATTGAGCAGTGGTTTGTAGTTCTCCTTGAAGAGGTCCTTCACGTCCTTGTAAGTTGGGTTCCTAGGTATTTTATTCTCTTTGAAGCAATTGTGAATGGGAGTTCACTCACGATTTGGCTCTCTGTTTGTCTGTTATTGGTGTATAAGAATGCTAATGATTTTTGCACACTGATTTTGTATCCTGAGACTTTGCTGAAGTTGCCTATCAGCTTAAGGAGATTTTGGGCTGAGATGATGGGGTTTTCTAGATATACAATCATGTCATCTGCAAACAGGGACAATTTGACTTCCTCTTTTCCTAATTGAATACCCTTTATTTCCTTCTCCTTCCTGATTGCCCTGGCCAGAATTTCCAACATTGTGTTGAATAGGAGTGGTGAGAGAGGGCATCCCTGTCTTGTGCCTGTTTTCAAAGGGAATGCTTCCAGCTTTTGCCCATTTAGTATGATATTGGCTATGGCTTTGTCAGAGATAGCTCCTATTACTTTGAGATACGTCTCATCAATTCCTAATTTATTGAGAGTTTTTTGCAGGAAGAGTTGTTGAATTTTGTCAAAGGCCTTTTCTGCATCTCTTGATATCTCAAGATAATCACATGGTTTTTTTGTCATTGGTTCTGTTTATAAGGTGGATTACGTTTGTTGATTTGTGTATGTTGAACCAGCCTTGCATCCCAGAGATGAAGCCCACTTGATCATGGTGGATAAGCTTTTTGATATGCTGCTGGATTCGGTTTGCCAGTATTTTATTGAGGATTTTTGCATAGATCTTCATCGGAGATATTGGTCTAAAATTCTCTTTTTTTGTTGTGTCTCTGCCAGGCTTTGGTATCAGGATGATGCTGTCCTCATAAAATGAGTTAGGGAGGTTCCCTCTTTTTCTATTGATTGGAATAGTTTCAGAAGGAATGGTACCAGCTCCTCCTTGTACCTCTGGTAGATTTTGGCTGTGAATCCATCTGGTCCTGGACTTTTTCTGGTTGGAAAGCTAATTATTAATTATTGCCTCAATTTCAGAGCCTGTTATTGGTCTATTCAGAGATTCAAATTCTTCCTGGTTTAGTCTTGGGTGGGTGTATGTGTCGAGGAATTTATCCATTTCTTCTAGATTTTCTAGTTTATTTGCATAGAGGTGTTTATAGTATTCTCTGATGGTAGTTTGTATTTCTGTGGGATCGGTGGTGATATCCCCTTGGGTTTAATAAACAGATAACATCAAACATTCAACTAATCCAATAAAAAGAAATTTTATTCATTTGAGAATGTGTTTTCCAGAGCATACTTATATATTACGTTTTAACTTCATAATTTATATTTTATAAAAACATAACTAATTCAAGTTAATCTTCTCTAATTTTTAATTCAATTGAATTTTTATCAGGATCACTATATTTAAACAAAAATTACCTGAATTTTTCACATCATAATTTATAGATTCTGCTTCTACAAATTGTCTGTAGGGACCATTATTTCTACACGGTCTACTTTCCTGGGTTAAGTGGTGGATACCCAAATGTTTTTGGGAATAATGTTTTCTTATATCAGTTTTTAGTCAGTGATACGTTGCACCATGTTTAATTTTAAGCATTATCAGTTTTCTTTTTTTTTTTTAATTGATCATTCTTGGGTGTTTCTCGCAGAGGGGGATTTGGCAGGGTCACAGGACAATAGTGGAGGGAAGGTCAGCAGATAAACAAGTGAACAAAGGTCTCTGGTTTTCCTAGGCAGAGGACCCTGTGGCCTTCCGCAGTGTTTGTGTCCCTGGGTACTTGAGATTAGGGAGTGGTGATGACTCTTAAGGAGCATGCTGCCTTCAAGCATCTGTTTAACAAAGCACATCTTGCACCGCCCTTAATCCATTCAACCCTGAGTGGATACAGCCCATGTTTCAGAGAGCACAGGGTTGGGGGTAAGGTCACAGATCAACAGGATCCCAAGGCAGAAGAATTTTTCTTAGTACAGAACAAAATGAAAAGTCTCCCATGTCTACCTCTTTCTACACAGACACGGCAACCATCCGATTTCTCAATCTTTTCCCCACCTTTCCCCCCTTTCTATTCCACAAAACCGCCATTGTCATCATGGCCCATTCTCAATGAGCTGTTGGGTACACCTCCCAGACGGGGTGGTGGCAGGGCAGAGGGGCTCCTCACTTCTCAGTAGGGGCGGCTGGGCAGAGGCGCCCTTCACCTCCCGGACGGGGCGGCTGGCCAGGCGGGGGGCTGACCCCCCCACCTCCCTCTTGGACAGGGCGGCTGGCCGGGCGAGGGGCTGACCCCCTCACCTCCCTCCCGGACGGGGCGGCTGGCCGGGCGGGGGGCTGACCCCCCACCTCCCTCCCGGACGGGGCAGCTGACCGGGCGGGGGGCTGACCCCCCAACTTCCCTCCCGGATGGGGTGGCTGGCCGGGCAGAGGGGCTCCTCAGTTCCCAGTAGGGGCGGCCGGGCAGAGTCGCCCCTCACCTCCCGGACGGGGCGGCTGGCAGGGCGGGGGGCTGACCCGCCCACCTCCCTCCCCCCCAGAAGGGGTGGCTGGTCGGGCGGGGGGCTGATCCCCCACCTCCCTCCCAGACGGGGCGGCTGGCCGGGCAGAGGGGCTCCTCACTTCCCATCAGGGGCTGCCGGGCAGAGGCGCCCCTCACTTCCCGGATGGGGCGGCTGGCCAGGCGGGGGGCTAACCCACCCACCTCCCTCCCGGAGGAGGCGGCTGGCCGGGCGGGCGGCTGACCCCCCACCTCCCTCCCGCATGGGGTGGCTGGCCAGGCAGGGGGCTGACCCCCCCACCTCACTCCCGAACGAGGTGGCTGCCAGGCGGAGATGCTCCTCACTTCCGAGACGGGGTGACTGCCGGGCGGAGGGGCTCCTCACTTCTCAGACGGGGTGGTTGCCAGGCAGAGGGTCTCCTCACTTCTCAGACGGGGCGGCCGGGCAGAGACATTCCTCACATCCCGGACGGGGCGGCAGGGCAGAGGTGCTCCCCACATCTCAGATGATGGGCGGCCGGGCAGAGACGCTCCTCACTTCCCAGATGTGATGGCGGCCGGGAAGAGGCGCTCCTCACTTCCTAGATGGGATGGCGGCCGGGCAGAGACGCTCCTCACTTTCCAGACTGGGCAGCCAGGCAGAGGGGCTCCTCACATCCCAGACGATGGGCGGCCAGGTGGAGACGCTCCTCACTTCCCAGACGGGGTGGCAGGCGGGCAGAGGCTGCAATCTCGGCACTTTGGGAGGCCAAGGCAGGCTGCTGGGAGGTGGAGGTTGTAGCGAGCCGAGATCACGCCACTGCACTCCAGCCTGGGCACCATTGAGCACTGAGTGAACGAGTCTCCGTCTGCAATCCCGGCACCTCGGGAGGCCGAGGCTGGCGGATCACTCGCGGTTAGGAGCTCAGCCCGGCCAACACAGCGAAACCCCGTCTCCACCAAAAAAATACGAAAACCAGTCAGGCGTGGCGGCGCGCGCCTGCAATCGCAGGCACTCGGCAGGCTGAGGCAGGAGAATCAGGCAGGGAGGTTGCAGTGAGCCGAGATGGCAGCAGTACCATCCAGCTTCGGCTCGGCATCAGAGGGAGACCGTGGAAAGAGAGGGAGAGAGAGACCGTGGGGAGACGGAGAGGGTGAGGGAGAGGGAGAGGGAGAGGGAGAGGGAGAGCTATCAGTTTTCTTTCTTGTGCATTATTTTCACAGTAATATAAATTATGGACATCAAAATATCCTCAGGGTTAAAAATGTTGGAGTCCAAGCATTCTATATTCTTGATTTGTATGGTTTCAATTATGACTCAGCATTTTAGGAAAACATTGGCTCTATAATCTGTCACCCTCACCCCATTTAAATAAAAACATACTTTTTTGGACACAAGGATCAGGCATACACATCTACACAGTGGATCACATCATTTTTGGGGGCAAACTGAAAACTGTTTTTATACTCAAACATACTGTTGGGAAACTGTGAAATAAAAATTTCTGATGTTTGTTAAAAATTGGGAAGAAAGACATTAATACTATTGTAGTAGATTTTATGGCCATCGTAATAGGGTTCAGTTCAGAAATTGATCATAACTCTGAACACAGACAACGAAGAATTTATAGTCAATAAGCAGAATAAATCAGTGGATAAGAATTATTGAAAAACATTTGATAAAATACCAAAGGAGGAAGAGGAACTTTTTATAGCAGAAGCCTGGTTACAGGTTGGCTAAGGACTTAAATATCAAAGAAAGGGAATCACGATATTAGTAGACATAAGGGATATGTGGATTTTTACTAAACAGTATTAGCAGGATTTATGAAAGTGAGCCTCTCAAACCAGGAGCAGGGCAAGAAGTCAAGGTTGGCTTAGTCAAAAAGAGGGTTCAGTTAAGCTTGACTAACATTTGGTCATAAAGGGAGTGCTTACAAGAACCCAGATTTTTTTCCCATCTGATCTGTAAATAAATAATCACCAAAAAAGGCTTTGTTTGAAAAATGAGTGCCCACTTCACCTGAGAAAACCTCCATCTTCTTCTGTTTACCTTTGAATTTAGTGTAGAAAAAGAGCACTTGTCATTGCCACAGTTTTAATTTTGCTTTCACTCTTAAAAACAGAGAGTCAGGGCTGGGTGTGGTGGTTCATGCCTGTAATCCCAGCATTTTGGGCATGGTGATGCAAGCACACCTGTAATCCCAGCTACTTGAAAGGCTGAGGCAGGAGAATCACTTGAACCCAAGGGTCAGAGGTTGCAGTGAGCCAAAATCACACCACTGCACTCCAGCCTGGTGACAGAGTGAGACTCCATCAAACAAAACAAAACAAAACAAAACAAAACAAAACACAAAATTAGAAATTTAGTTTTATTCAAACAGCAACTTACAAACACAAAGGTTATAGTTTCTGACCCCTATTCAAGACAATTGGTTGTAACCATAAGTATTGATGGGACTTCAGGGAGATTCCTCAGATGGAGCTGATGCAGCTGTGCAAGCCACTTTGACCTTGCATCTTTCCTACTTCTTAGCCTTTGAAATGGACATGGTTGCTGGTGCAGGCTTGTGCTCCTACAGCCAGCCATATGGGACCATGAGACAGCCTACAGGATAAAAACCATCTACTGAAATATTGTAGCAAAGTGTGCCAAGAGGGCTGACTAGAAGTAGCTATGGTGTGTGGCTTTCATGAAAAGAAACAAAGAGGGAAAATAAATACAGCACCATCAACTGAAACACCCAGATATTTGCAGTGGGACTAATGAAGGAAACAGCTCAACCCATGGGAAAAAGAAGGGCATGGCAAACGCCCACCCGGGAGTAACACAGACCAAAGGGAACCTACCCTGCCCAAGGAAGTGGTGAGCAAATACGTGACCCTGAGAAACCACACTTCTCCCATGGATCTTTGCAACTCTCGGGTCAGGAGATTTTCTCGTAAACTTATTCCACCAGGGCCTTTGGTCTGATACACAGAGCTGCGTGTTCCCGGCAGAACAACTGCTCAGACACAAACAGAATCGCAGGAGCTTTACATACGTTGGCTCTGAGATCTCTGGCAAAGGTGACTGCAACTCAGACAAGGTGGGAGGTTGGATCTCCGTAAATGCCCCTAGAAAGGAAGCTGAATCCATGGGCCTGAGCAGCATCAGTGGGCCCCACTTCCATGACGCCTCACAGGATAAGACCTACTGGCTTGGAATTCCATCCAGCCCCCAGCAACAGCATTGCAATTACCTGGGATGGAACAACGTTCCTGGAGGCAGGGGCTGGCTGCTATATTTGCTGTTTGGATGACTCAGCCATTCCAGCCTGGAGGTTTAGGAGAGTTAAAAAAAAAAAAACTCATGGCAGATGGAAGAAATCCCTTAGCACGGCACATTGGCCCTCCCAAAGTTTGGCCGGACTACTTCTTGAAGTGGGACCCAGATACCTTTTTCATCTCAGAGTGGGGCCTCCTACCAGAGCCTCCAGACAGCCCCTTCCATATTCTCCGGCAGGCAGAGTTTTGATTTATTCCTGGATGCAGTGCACATTGGGAGCAGTGGGTCTTCATATTTGTTGTTTGGAGAACTCAGCCATAACAATCAGTGGGCTTAGGAGAGTCCAAACCATCCCAGGGAAGAAGGAATCCCCCAGCATAGCACAGTGGATCTGCCATAATGTGATCAGATTGCTTCTTTAAGTGGGACCTAATATGCTCTGCATCTCTGGGTGGAACTTCCCAACCAGGGCCTCCAGCAACTCCCACTGATGTTGTCTGGCTGGCAGAGGTTTAAAAACTTCCTGGGCCAGAGTTCCTAGAGAGAGGGGTTGGCCACCATCTTTGCTGTTTCAGCCTCCAGGCTTTGGAGAGCCCAATCTGATGAAGGGCAGAAATGGTACCCCGCACAGCATGGCTGATCTATGAAAGTGGGGCTAGATGGCTTAAGTGGGTCCCCAATCCTATTCCTCCTAGCTGGGTGAGACCTACCAACTGGGGTTTCCAGTCACCTCCTACAGGTGTGTTCGAGCCCTCAACATGTCTGCACCCGCCCTGGGATGGAGCTCCCAGGGAAGGGAGTGGGCTGCTATCTTTCTTGTTTCACAGCCTTCACTGGTGATACCCCCAGATACTGGAAAATCCGAGGTGACAAGAGAGTGGAGCAGATGCCCAACAAACTACAGCAGCCCCACACAAAATGGCCAAACAGTTAAAAGGAAGAGAAACAAACAAAAATCTCATTCAAAGGCCAGCAACCTCAAAGATTAAAGATAGATAGGCACACAAAGGTGAGAATCACAACAAGAATACTAAAAACTCAAAAATCAGGGTGCTCTCCCTCTCCCAAACGACCACACTACTTCTCCAGCAAGAGTTCAGAATAAGGGTGAGGCTGTGATCCCTGAAATAACAGAAGTAGACCCCAGAATGTGGATAAAAATGAACTTCACTGATCTAAAGGAGCATGCTCTAACTCAATACAAGAAAGCTAAAAATTACAATATAATATTGCAGGAGCTGACAAACAAATTAGCCAGGATAGAGAGGAGCCTAACCAACCCGATAGCACTGTAAAACACAATACAAAAATTTCATAATGCAATCACAAGTATTAATGAGGAAAGAAACTCAGAGCTTGAAGTTTGTATTTCTGAAAGAAGACATGCAGAGAAGAATAGAAAAAAAGAATGAAAGGAATAAACAAAACCTTTGAGAAATATGGGATTATGTAAAGAGACCAAATCTACAACTGATTGGTGTACTTGAAAGAGCTGGGGAGAATGGAACCAATCAGGAAAACATATTTCAGGATATCATCAATGAGAACTTCCCCAACCTTGCTACACTGGCCAACAATTCAGAAAATGGAGAGAAGTTCAGTAAGATACTCCAAGAAAAAATCATACCCAAGACACGTAAACGTCAGATTCCCCAAACTTGAAATGGAAGAAAAAAAAAGAAAAAAAAGCTCAGCCGCAGAGAAAAGCCAAGTCACCTACAAAAAGAAGTTGATCAGACTAAGAGCAGAGCTGTCAGTGAGAACCCTACAAGCCAAAAGAGATTGGGGGCCAATATTTAACGTTCTTAAAGAAAATAAACTTTAAGCCAGAATTTTATATCTGGCCAAACTAAGCTTAATCTGGGGAGAAATAACATCCCTTTCAGACAAGCAAATTCCGAGTTAATTCATGAACACCAGACATGCTTTTCAAGAGCTCCTGAAGGAAGCACCAATTTGGAAAGGGAAAATTATTACCAGCCACCATAAAAACACACTCAAGTACACAGACCATTGACACTATAAATCAACCACATAAACAAGTCTGAAAAATAAAAATAACCAGCTAGCATCAAGATAACAAGATAAAATCTACGCATAACAATACTTAACTTAAATGTAAATGGGATAAATGCCCCAGTTGAAACACACAGGGTGGCAATTGTATAAAAACCAAGACCCATTGGTATGCTCTTCAAGACACCCATCTCACATGCGGGGACACACATAGGCTAAAAATAAAGGGATGGAGGAAATTTCACCAAGCAAGTGGAAAACCTAAAAAAGCAAGGGTTGCAGTCTTACTTTCCAACAAAACAGACTTTAAACCAACACAGATTAAAAACAACAACAACAACAAAGAGGGTCATTACATAATGGCAAAGAATTCAATTCAACAAGAATTAACTATTCTAAATATATATGCACCCAACACAAGAGTACCCAGATTCATATAACAAGTTTCTAGATATCTTGAAAGAGACTTAGAACACCACACAATAATAGTGACCGACTTTAACATCCCACTGACAGTATTAGAAAGATTATTGAGACAGAAAATTAACAAAGGTGTTCAGGACCTGAACTTAGCTCTGGATCAAATGGACATGATATATATTTACAGAACTCTCCACATGAAAACAGCAGAATATACATTCTTCTCATCACTACATGACACTTTCTCTGAAATTGGTCACTTAGCCAGAAGTAAAACACTCTTCAGCAAATGCAAAAGAACTGAAATCATAATAAACAGTGGCTCAGATCACAGCACAATCAAATTAAAACTCACGATGAAATAATTTACTGAAAACCATAAAATTAAATGGAAATTGAATCACCTGCTCCTGAATAACTTTTGGGTAAATAATGAAATTAAGGCAGATATCAAGGAGTTCTTTGAAACCAATGAGAACAAAGACAAAACATACCAGAATCTCTGGGACACAGCTAAGGCAGTATTAAGATGAAAATTTATGGCATTAAATGCCCACATTAAAATGCCAGAAATGTCTCAAGTTACAACTTCACAACAAAAATAACTACAGGAACAAGAGCAAAGAAGTTCTAGAGCTAGCAGAAGACAAGAAATAACCAAAATCAGACCTGAAATGATGGAGATAGGGACAAGAGAAACCATTCAACAGATCAACAAATTCAGGAGCTGTTTCTTTTTCTTTGAAAAAACCAATAATATAAATACACCAGTAGTAGACTAATAAGGAAGAAAATATCAAAAATTAAAATGAACACAATCAGAAATAATAAGGGTTACCACTGACCCCACAGAAATAAAAATAACCATCAGAAAATATCATAAACACCTCTATGCCTATAAGATAACAAATTCAGTAGAAATGGATAAATTTCTGGACACATACACCCTTCAAGAATAAACCAGGAAGAAATTGAATCCCTGAAAAGACAAACAACAGGCTCTGAAATTCAGGCAGTAATAAATAGCCTACAAACCACAAAAAGATCAGAAACACAAAGATTAAAAGCTGAAGGTTATGACATTTATGAAGAAGAACTGGTACAATTCCCACTAAAATTATTTCAAAAAACTGAAACAGAGGGCTTCCTTCCCGACTCTTTCTATGAGACCACATCATCCTGGTACCAAAACCTGGCAGACACACAAGAAAAAAAACAAAACTTCAAAAAATTTGCAAGAAGAAAACAACCCCATCAAAAAGTGGGCGAAGGACATGAACAGACGCTTCTCAAAAGAAGACATTTATGCACCCAAAAAACACATGAAAAAATGCTCACCATCACTGGCCATCAGAGAAATGCAAATCAAAACCACAATGAGATACCATCTCACACCAGTTAGAATGGCAATCATTAAAAAGTCAGGAAACAACAGGTGCTGGAGGAGATGTGGAGAAATAGGAACACTTTTACACTGTTGGTGGGACTGTAAACTAGTTCAACCATTGTGGAAGTCAGTGTGGCAATTCGTCAGGGATCTAGAACTAGAAATACCATTTGACCCAGCCATCCCATTTCTGGGTATATACACAAAGGACTATAAATCATGCTGCTTTAAAGACACATGCACACGTTTGTTTATTGCGGCACTATTCACAATAGCAAAGACTTGGAACCAACCCAAATGTCCAACAATGATAGACTGGATTAAGAAAATGTGGCACATATACACCATGGAATACTATGCAGCCATAAAAAATGATGAGTTCATGTCCTTTGTAGGGACACGGATTAAATTGGAAATCATCATTCTCAGTAAAATATCACAAGAACAAAAAAACCAAACACCGCATGTTCTCACTCATAGGTGGGAATTGAACAATGAGATCACATGGACACAGGAAGGGGAACATCACACTCTGGGGACTGTTGTGATGAGGGGGGAGGGGAGAAGGATAGCATTGGGAGATATACCTAATGCTAAATGACGAGTTAATGGGTGCAGCACACAAGCATGGTGCATGCGTACATATGTAACTAACCTGCACATTGTGCACATGTACCCTAAAACTTAAAGTATAATAATAATAAAATAAAAAAAGAAAAAAAAAAACTTCATGCCAATATTTTTGATGAACATTTATGCAAACATTCTTAACAAAATAGGGGCAAACCAAATCCAGCAGCGCATCAGAAAGCTTATCCACCACAATCAAGTAGGCTCCATGTGTGGGATGCAACTTTAATTCAACGTACACAAATCAATATGTGATTTATCACATAAACAGAACTAAAGACAAAAGCCACATGATTGTCTGAATAGATGCAGATAAATCTTTGCATCCATAAAATTCAGCATCCATTCTTGTAAAAACTCTCAATAAACTAGGTATTGAAAAAAACATACTTCAATATAATAAGAACCATGTATGACAAACCCACAGCCAATATCATACTGAAAGGGCAAAAGCTGAAAGCATTCCCTTTTAAAACGGGCACAAGACAAGGATGCCCTCTCTCATGACTCCTATTTCAGATAGTATTGGAAGTACTGGGCAGAGCAATCAGGTAAGAGAAAAAGGCATTCAAATTGAAAGAAAAGAAATTAAACAACACCTGATGTCAGACGACATGATTCTATATCTTGAAAACCCCTATTGTCTCAACCCCAAAGCTTCTTAAGCTGATAAATATCTTTAACAAAGTCCCAAGATACAAAATAAATGGGCAAAAATCACTAGCACTAAATCCTTATATACCAACAACAGTCAAGCCAAGAGCAAAATCGTGAATGAACACTCATTCACAGTTACCACAAAAAGAATAAAATACCAAGGAATGTATCTAACAAGAGAAGTGAAAGGCCACTACAAGGAGAACTATAAACCACTTCTCAAAGAAATCAGACATGACATAAACAAATAGAAAAACATTTCATGCTTATGGATAGAAAGAGTTAATATTGTTAAAGTAGACACACTCCACAAAGAAATTTATAGAGTTAATAGTATTTCCGTTAAACTACCAATGACATTTTTCACAAAACTAGAAAAGCTATTTTAAAATTTATATGGAACCAACAAAGGCCTGAATAGTCAAGACAACCCCAAACAAAAAGAACTAAGCTGGAGGCATCACACTACCCAACTTCAAACTGTGCTACAGGGCTACAGAAACCAAAACAGCATGGTACTGGTACAAGAACAGACACACAGACCAATGAAACAGAATAGAGGACCCAGAAATAAGACTGCACACCTACAACTAACTGATCTTCGACAAACCTGACAAAAACAAGCAATGAAAAAACGACTCTGTACTCAATAAATGGTGCTGGGATAACTGCCTAGCCATGTGCAAAAAATTGAAACTGAACCCCTTCCTCCATCATCCTCTGCAACTAACACAGGAACAGAAAACTAACCACCGCATATTCTCACTCATAAGTGGGAGTTGAACAATAAGAACACATGGACACTGGAAGGGAAACAACACAACTGGGGCTAGTCAGGGAATGGGAGTCGAAGGGAGGGAGAGCATTAGGATAACTAGCTAATGCATGTGGGACTTGAAGCCTGGATAACGGGCTGATAGGTGCAGTAAACCACCATGGCACACATATACCAATGTAACAAACCTACACATTCTGCACTTGTACTTCAGAACCCAATTTAAATTTAAAAAATAAAGAAAGATTCCTTACATCATATACAACAATAAACTCAACATGGTTTAAATGTAAAACCCAAGACTATAAAAACTTTGGAAGACAACCTAGGCAATACCATTCGGGACATAGGCATGGGCAAATATTTTATGATGAAGGCGCAAAAGCAATTAGAACAAAGAGAACATTGACAAATGGGATCTAATTAAACTAAAGAGCTTTTGCACAGCAAAAGAAACTATCAACAGAGTAAACAGACAATGTATAGAATGGGAGAAAATTTTTGCAAACTGTGCATCTGACAATAATCTAATTTCTAGCATCCATAAGGAACATAAATTTACACGAGAAAAACAAACAACCTTATTAAAAATTGGCCAAAGGACACACAGAAACACTTCTTGAAAGAAGACATACATGCAGCCAATAAGCGTATGAAACAGAAGTTCAACATCACTGACCATTAGAGAAATGTAAATCCAAACCACAATGAGACATCATTTTATACCAGGTATAATGGTTACCATGAAAAAATCAAAAAATCACAGATGCTGACAAAGTTGTGGAGAAAAAGCAACATTTTTACCCTGTTGGTCGAGTTCAAACGTTGTGGAAGACAGTGTGGTGATTCTTCAAAGACCTAAAGAAAAGAATACCATTTGACCTAGCAATCTCATTACTGGGTATATACCCAAACAAATATAAGTCATTCTATTATAAAGATACCTGCACGCTCAAGTTCATCACAGCCCTATTCACAATAGCAAAGACATCAAATCAGCCTACATGTTCATCAATAATAGACTGGTTGAAGAAAACGTAGTTCATATACAACATGGAGTACTATGCAGCCATAAAAAAGCACAAGATTATGTCCTTTGTAGGGACATGGATGGAGCTGGAGGCCATTATCCTTAAAAAACTAACAGAAACAGAAAACCAAATACCACATTTTCTCACTTATAAGTGGAGGGTAGATGATGAGAACACACAGAAACATGGAGGGGAGCAACACGCACCAGGGCCTATCAGGAGGTAGGGGGTGAGAGGAGGGAGAGAATCAGAAAAAATAACTAATAGTTAGTAGACTTAATACCTGGGTGATAAAACAATCTGCACAACCAAACTTCGGGACGTATGTTTCCATATTTAAAGAACCTGCACATCCTGCCCATATACCCCTGAACTTAAAACAAAGTTCAAAAAAGAAAAACATTTTAGCAAAATGACAGACTATTTTTGACTACCTTCGTGTACGGTTCAGAGTCAGACTGCCCAGCTCTAACATCCTTATTTATGAGAAAGAAAGCATTCTCTCTCTTATCTGCACTATTATATTGGGTTTTCTTTTTTAATTTTTTTGAGACGGAGTTTCACTCTTATTGCCCAGACTGGAGTGCAATGGCGCGATCTCGGTTCACCACAATCTCTACCTCCCGGGTTCAAGCGATTCTCCTGCCTCAGCCTCTCAAGAAGCAGGGATTACAGGCATGCACCACTACGCCTGGAAAATTTTGTATTTTTGGTAGAGACTGGGTTTCTCTATGTTGGTCAGGCTGGTCTTAAACTCCAGACCTCTGGTGATCCGTCTGCCTCAACCTCCCAATGTGTTGGGATAACAGGCGTGAACTACAGCACCCGGTCTGGGTTTTCTTCTATATGTAGGAAAATGTAATCCTAACTAAAGTGCTAGCTTTGCCATGGAATCTCTGTGTAATTCTGGATGTTATGTCACTTTCCTAAGACTTTTTTCTATCTGCGTAGTGGTGGAGGCAGTAGTGGGGAAGATTTAATTATACAAAGGGTCCATCAATCCATGTGTTAAGTGAGGATGTCACTACTTTCCAGACTCAGAGGACAGGGGACATATTGTTATGCTCCATGGGAAGCTGTTGGGGGGTGGAGGTGGGGCTCACTTGCACACATTGTCTGTGGGCCTTGAAAGATCAAGTGTGTATGACCCTTCTTGAACAGAAGGTCCATGTGCCCAGTGCAGAACCCATCTATTTCTTCCCAAGTGAGGAAGATCTGGGAACACCCTGATCACAGCCTTGCTACACCAATCCTAGTTGGTAGGGACGTTAGACCATATGCATGTTGAGCTGTGGCTTAAGCATTTTGACATCTCACATCTCATTGGATATCTGAAAAACTGAGGTCTGGAGAGAAGCAGGGACTGGCCCAGAGATGATGAAGTGGGCAGAGTCCAAGGGAAAAAAGAGCATTCTGACCTCCTAGGCCAGGGCTCAACACTCTCATGGGGTTTGTTTTGGGAATGAGTCCCTGAGATCCTGGGGATTTTTGCCAATTTTCTCGTCATATGAAGCAAACTCATGTCTGCATCATTAGACTTCCACAGGTTTGTGCATACACACACAGACTTCTCAGGCTAAAGGTCATAAGAGGAGTTAACGCTGATGGAGTGATGAGAAGAAAAAAGATAGAGGATAGGGGCAGCTTTGTCATGGGGTAGAAGCACCCCATCTTCTGGTAACATGCCCAGGACCCATAACATGGGCAGGGGAAGGCAATAGGCTGATGGCTTGAGAGGCTCAAGGCTTCCATGGATCTGACTGGGCTGCAGCCAACACCAGGATAGCTTTCCAAGGACAAAACCTTACTTTCTCCATTCATTAATCTGCATAATTAAAATGGTAAGGAATCCCCCTACACCCAATATGGAGAGGAATACAGTAGTGAAAACCTTCAATTTTTCCCGTACAAATTGACATAATTGAACTGTGTGACCCCTAAATTTGAAAGGCTTAAAGAAGTGAGTTGACCTTGCTGTCTATCAATTACCACTGTACTCTCAGAACTTTGGAAATTGCTCTGTGTCCTCCGAAGGTCTTTCAGAGCAGAAAGTGGCCTAGGGGTGTGCGGGACTGAGCACTCAGGCTGGTGTAGAATGTGACAGATCCTCAGACCACTGCTCTGGGATCCAAGGAGAAGACCTTCTCGGTCAGAGCTTTGGGGATCTTTTTTTTGGAGGGGGCGATCTTTTTTGAAAGTGGAGACAGAATCGTTTTCCAGGGCTCCCTCATTTGCCCTCCTGTTTCATAGTATTTCTTTTTTCTGTCTTTCTTTCTTTCTTTCTTTCTTTCTTTCTTTCTTTCTTTCTTTCTTTCTTCTTTCTTTCTTTCTTCTTTCTTTTTCTTTCTTTCTTCTTTCTTTCTTTCCTTCTTTTTCTTTCTCTTTCTTTCTTTCTCCTTCGTTTCTTTTCTTTCTTCCTTTCTTTCTTCTTTCTCTTTCTTTTGTTCTTCCTTCATTCCTTCCTTCCGTTTCTTTCTTTCTTCTTTCTTTCTTTCCTCTTCCTTCATTCCTTCCTTCCTTTTCTTTCTTTCTTTCTTTCTTTCTCTTTCTTTCTCCTTCCTTCCTCCCTCCCTTTCTTTTCTTTCTTTCCTTATTTTCTTTTTTCTTTCTTCTTTCTTTCTTTCTTCTTTCTTTCTTTCTTTCTTTCTTTATCAGAGTCTCTCTCTTCTCGCTCTTTCACGGGACTGGAGTGGAGTGGCATGATCTCGGCTCACTGCAACCTCCACCTCCCGGGTTCAAGTGATTCACTGCAACCTCCACCTCCCAGGTTCAAGTGATTCTCCTGCCTCAGCCTCCTGAGTAGCTGGGAATATAAGGGCGTGCCACCAAGCCTGGCTAATTTTTGTATTATTAGTAGAGACGGGGTTTCGCCATGTTGTCCAGGATGGTCTCGATCTCTTCACCTCGTGATCTGCTTGCATCAGCCTCTGAAAAAAACTGAGATTATAGGTGTGAGCCACCACACAAAGCCTACAGTTTATTTTTCTTTGCTTGTTAAAATGTTTTAGTCAGCTAAAATTTACACAATATAGAGTTCTACATACTATCTAATATAAAGTGTAAAATTCAGTGCTTTTCAGTTTATTTACAATGCTATGCAACTGTCACCCTTATCAAATTCCAAAATAGTTTCATCACCCTTTCACCAAAAAAACTCCATATCCATTAAGCAGTAATTTATCATTCATCCACCGAATTTCCTTGGTAACCACTGATTGACTTTCTATCTCTAGTACTCTCTTTCTTTCTTTCCTTTTTTTTTTTTTTTTTTTTGGTGTCTCACTCTGTCACCCATGCTAGAGTGCAGTGGCACGATCTCGGCTCGCTGCAAGCTCCACCTCCCTGGTTCACGCCATTCTCCTGCCTCAGCCTCCAGGGTAGCTGGGACTACAGATGCCTGTCAGCACGCCCAGCTATTTTTCTTTGTATTTTTAGTAGAGACGGGGTTTCACCATGTTAGCCAGCATGGTCTCGATCTCCTGACATCGTGATCTGCCTGCTTCGGCCACCCAAAGTGCTGGGATTACAGGCGTGAGCCATCACACCCGGCTTCTATTTCTAGTTTTCTATTCTAGTCACTTTATAGAAATATAATAATATAATATGTGACCTTTTTTCTTTGGCTTTTCTCTTTGAGCGTGTTTTCATTATTTATCCATGTTGTGGCACATATCAGTTCTGTATTTATTTTTATGGCTAGCTAATACTCCATTGTATAAATAATATTCTATTGGCCAGGGACGATGGCTCACACCTATAAACTCAGTATTTTGGGAGGCTGAGGCTGGTGGATCACCTGAGGTCAGGAGTTCTAGACCAGCCTGGCTGACATGGTGAAACACTGTGTCTACTAAAAATACAAAAATTAGCCGGGCGTGGTTCCTGAAAGCCCAATTGCTCAGGAGGCTGAGGCCAGGGAATCTCTTGAACCCAGGAGGTGGAGGTTACAGTGAGCTGAGATCGTGCCACTGCACTCCAGCATGGGTGACAGAGCAAGACTGTCTCAAAAAAAAAGAAAGAAAATGAGAGGAAATATGTGCAAACTACACAGCTGACAAGCGATTGATAAGCAGAATACAGAATAAACAAAAAACTAAATAAAAAATTAGTTTAACTTTAAAATGGGCAATAATCTTCAGAAACATTTCTGGAAAATATAAGGGGCATAAACATAGAACCTAAAAGTTAGAGAAGAATTATGAAAAAACTGAAGGATATAGAAAAAATAATTTCAGACTATTCACATTAAAATTTAATTAGAGAGGGGGTGGAGCCAAGATGGGCGAATAGGAAAAGCCTTAGTCTAGAACTCCCAGCATCGGCAATGCAGAACACAGGTGATTTCTGCATTTCCAACTGAGGTACCGGGCTCATCTCACTGGGGAGTGTCAGAAAGTGGGTGCAGGACAGTGGGTGCAGCGCACCCCATGTGAGCCAAAGCATGGTGAGGCATCGCCTCACCCAGGAAGTGCAAGGGGTCAGGGAATACCCTTTCCTAGTCAAAGAAAGGGGTGACAGATTGCACCTGGAAAATCGGGTGACTCCCACCCTAACACTGTACTGTTCCAAAGGTCTTAGCAAACGGCATACCAGGAGATTATATCCTGCACCTGGCTCAGAGGGTCCTACGCCCACAGAGCCACAATCATTGCTAGCACAGCAGTCTGAGATCAAACTGCAAGGCAACAACAAGCCTGGGGGAGGGGCGCCCACCATTGCCGTGGCTTGAGTAGGTAAACAAAGCAGCCAGGAAGCTCCAACTGGGTGGAGCCAACTGCATCTCAAGGAGGCCTGCCTGACTCTGTAGACTCCACCTCTGGGGGCAGGGAATAGCCAAACAAATGGCAGCAGAATCCTCTGCAGACTTAAATGTCCCTGTCTGACAGCTTTGAAGAGAGTAGTGGTTATCCCAGCATGCAGCTGGAGATCTGAGAACAGACAGACTGCCTCCTCAAGTGGGTCCCTGACCCCCGAGTAGCCTATCTGGGAAGCATCCCCAGTAGGGGCAGACTGACACCTCACACGGCCGGGTACTCCTCTGAGACAAAATTTCCAGAGGAACAATCAGGCAGCAATATTTGCTTTTCACCAATATCCGCTGTTCTGCAGCCTCCACTGCTGATACCCAGGCAAACAGGGTCTGGAGTGGACCTCCAGCAAACTCCAACAGACCTGCAGCTGAGGGTTCTGACTGTTAGAAGGAAAACTAACAAACAGAAAGTACATCCACAACAAAATCCCATCTGTACATCACAATCATCAAAGACCAAAGGAGAGAAAACTACAAAGATGGGGAAAAAACAGAGCAGAAAAACGGAAAATTCTAAAAATCAGAGTATCTCTCCACCTCCAAAGGAACACAGCTCCTCACCAGCAATGGAACAAAGCTGGACAGAGAATGACTTTGACGAGTTGAGAGAAGAAGGCTTCAGACGATCAAACTACTCCGAGCTAAAGGAGGAAGTTCAAACCCATGGCAAAGAAGTGAAAAACCTTTAAAAAAATTAGATGAATAGCTAACTAGAATAACCAATGCAGAGAAGTTCGTAAAGGACCTGATGGAGCTGAAAACCAATGTACGAGAAGTACGTGATGAATGCACAAGCCTCAGTAGCCAATTCGATGAACTGGAAGAAAGGGTGTCAGTGATGGAAGATCAAATGAATGAAATGAAGTGAGAAAAGAAGTTTAGAGAGAAAAAGATAAAAAGAAATGAACAAAACCTCCAAGAAATATGGGACTGTGTGAAAAGACCAAATCTACATCTGATTGGTGTACCTGAAAGTTATGAGGAGAATGGAAGCAAGTTGGAAAACACTCTGAAGGATATTATCCATGAGAACTTCCCCAATCTAGCAAGGGAGGGTGACATTCAAATTCAGGAAATACAGAGAACACCAAAAAGATAATCCTCAAGAAGAGCAACTCCAAGACACATAACTGTCAGATTCACCAAAGTTGAAATGAAGGAAAAAATGTTAAGGGCAGCCAGAGAGAAAGGTCGGGTTACCCACAAAGGGAAGCCCATCAGACTAACAGCTGATCTCTCGGCAGAAACTCTACAAGCCAGAAGAGTGGGGAACAATATTCAACATTCTTAAAGAAAAGAATTTTCAATCCAGAATTTCATATTCATTCAAACTAAGCTTCATAAGTGAAGGAGAAATAAAATCCTTTACATACAAGCAAACGATGAGAGATTTTGTCACCACCAGGCCTGCCCTAAAAGAGCTCCTGAAGGAAGCACTAAACATGGAAAGGAACAACCGGTACCAGCCACTGCAAAAACATGCCAAGTTGTAAAGACCATCGAGGCTAGGAAGAAACTGCATCAACTAACGAGCAAAATAACCAGCTAACATCATAATGACAGGATCAAATGCACACAAAACAATATTAACCTTAAAAGTAAATGGACTAAATTCTCCCATTAAAAGACACAGACTGGCAAATTGGATAAAGAGTCAAGACCCATCAGTGTTCTGTATTCAGGAAACGCATCTCACGTGCAGAGACACACATAGGCTCAAAATAAAGGGATGGAGGAAGATCTACCAAGCAAATGGAAAACAGAAAAAGGCAGGGGTTACAATCCTAGTGTCTGATAAAACAGACTTTAAAACAATAAAGATCAAAAGAGACAAAGAAGTCCATTACGTAATGATAAAGGGATCAATGCAATAAGAAGAGCTAATTATCCTGAATATATATGCACCCAATATAGGAGCACACAGATTCATAAAGCAAGTCCTTAGAGACCTAGAAAGAGACTTAGACTCCCACACAATAGTAATGGGAGATTTTAACACCCCTCTGTCAACATTAGACATATCAATGAGACAGATAGTTAACAAGGATATCCAGGAATTGAACTCAGCTCTGCACCAAGCAGACCTAATAGACATCTACAGAACTGTCCACCCCAAATCAACAGAATATACATTCTTCTCAGCACCGCACCGCACTTATTCCAAAATTGACCACATAGTTGGAAGTAAAGCACTCCTCAGCAAATTGTAAAAGAACAGAAATTATAAAAACCTCTCTCTCAGACCACACTGCAATAAAACTAGAACTCAGGATTAAGAAACTCACTCAAAACCGCTCAACTACATGGAAACCAAACAACCTGCTCCCGAATGACTACTGGGTACATAACGAAACGAAGGCAGAAATAAAGATGTTCTTTGAAAGCAACGAGAACAAAGACACAACATACCAGAATCTATGGGACACATTCAAAGCAGCGTGTAGAGGGAAATTTATAGCACTAAAGGCCCACAAGAGAAAGCAGAGAAGATCTAAAATTGACACCCTAACATCACAATTAGAAGAACTAGAGAAGCAAGAGCAAACACATTCAAAAGCTAGCAGAAGGCAAGAAATAACTAAGATCAGAGCAGAATTGAAAGAAATAGACACATAAAAAACCCTTCAAAAAATCAGTGAATTCAGGAGCTGGTTTTTGAAACGATCAACAAAATTGATAGACTGCTAGCAAGACTAGTAAAGAAGAAAAGAGAGAAGAATCAAATAGACGCAATAAAAACTGATCATTTATGTGGCTCAAGTTCTCTAATATAACATAGTACGGTCAAAATGGAAGGGTAAAAATTGCAAGACCACCTTAACGTTTGTCATCTTAAGTGTACTATAAAAATGCCTTTTAAATTAATTCAGTGAATAGGTTTTTAAGTGCATGTTTTAGATTATGCTGAACTGTCAAATACCAGCACATCCCTAATTTGCAGTAGATTAACAGCACTTTTTAGCACACATCACAGAGTTGTTCGGTGGCCAAATTGAAAAGGCACCTCCTCTCCATGTGGTCATTCAGAAACTCAAAGTTCTTTCATTATTTGTCTTCATCATCCATGAGTCGTGGTTGCCGTTTGTGTTCAGTCCCCTGAAAATAAAGTACTTTAAGAAATGCATGCGAGAAGACTTGATGGACTCATCTTAATGTGACTCACATCCATCTCACTCTACAACCATTAACAATAACTGGTCACGTTTCCACATCTAATGCAAATGAGGCTAAGAAATGTAATTCTGCTGTGTCCCTAATAAATGGGAGAATAGAATTTGTTGAATGACCAGAGTTTTCCGTAACATTGTGTCACTCATATGGATTTACTGTGTTTCTCAAATATTTATTAAACATCTGTCATAGCCAAGCACTGTGATAAGGAGTACAGGGAGGACAGAGAGCTGACTCAGCAGAGTCCTAGTCTGAAAGAAACTCACAATCTAAGAAAATAAGAAAAGTCATGTTAGGTGCTGCTATAAAGGCACATGCACACGTATGTTTATTGTGGCACTACTCACAATGCAAATACTTGGAACCAACCGAAATGTCCAACAATGATAGACTGGATCAAGCAAATGTGGCCCATATACACCATGGAATACTATGCAGCCATAAAAAATGATGAGTTCATGTCCTTTGTGTGTACATGGATGAAGCTGGAAAAAATAATTCTCAGCAAACTATCACAAGGACAAAAAAAAACAAACACCACATGTTCTCGCTTATAGGTGGGAATTGAACAATGAGAACACTTGGACACAGGAAGGGTAACATTACCCACTGGGGAATGTTGTTGGGGGGGAGGGGGGAGGGATAGCATTTGGAGATATACCTAATGTAAATGACGAGTTAATGGGTGCAGCTCACCAATATGGCACATGTATACATAAGTAACAAACCTGCACGTTGTGCACATGTACCCTAGAACTTAAAGTATAATAAATATATGTATAACATATGTATATATTATATACATGTTCAAGGGATTCTCCTGCCTCAGCCTCCCAAGTAGCTGGGATTACAAGCGCTGCCATTACTCCCAGCTATTTTTTGTATTTTTAGTAGAGAAGGAGTTTTGCCATGTTGGCCAGGACGGTCTGGATCTCCTAACCTCATGATCCACACCCCTTGGCCTCCCAGAGTGCTGGGATTACAGGTGTGAGCCACAGCCCCCGGCCTATATGAGTTTTCAAATAGTTTTTTCTAGCTCCGTAAAAAATTTCATTGGCAGTTTGATGGAAATAGTATTAAATCTGTAAATTTCTTTGTGAAGTATAGCCATTTTAGTGATATTGGATCTTCCTATCCGTGAGCATGGGATGGTTTTCCATTTGTTTGTATCTTCTCTGATTTCTTTGAGCAGTGTTTTGTAAATCTCATTGTAGAGCTCTTTCACCTCCCTGGTGAGCTGCATTTCCAGATATTTTATTATTTTAGTGGCAATTGTGAATGGGATGGCCTTTCTGATTTTGCTGTCAGTGTGGCTATCGTTGGTGTAGAAAAATGTTAGTGATCTTTGCACATTGATTTAGTATCTTGAAACTTTGCTGAAGCTGTTTGTTAACTAAAGAAGCTTTGTAGATGAAACTACAGGGTTTTCTAGATAGAGAATTATGTTATCTGCAAACAGAAATAGTTTGGCTTTCTCTCTTCCTATTTGGATGTTCTTCGGATTTCTTTCTCTAGCCTGATTGCTCTGGTCAGTACTGTCAATACTAAGTTGAATAGAAATGGCAAGAGAGGGCATTCTTGCCTTCTACTGGTTTTAAAAAATAATGTTCCCGGCTTTTGCCCATTCAACACATTGTTGGCTGTGGGTTTCTTATAGACGGCTTTTATTATTTTCTGCGTCTATTGAGATAATCATCTTTTTTTTGTTTTTAGTTCTGTTTATGTAATGTATTACATTTATTGATTTGCACATGATGGACCAACCTTGCGTCCTAAGGAGGAAGCCTACTTGATCATGACGGATTACCTGTTTGATGTGCTGCTGGATTTGCCTCCCAAATATTTTGTTGAGAACTTTTGTATTGATGTTCGTCAAGAATATTGGCCTGAAGTTTTCTTTCCCTTCTTTCTTTTTTTTTTTTTTTTTTGACGGTGTCTCCCTCTGTTGCCCAGGCTGGAGTGGATTGCACTGGCGCGATCTCTGCTTAATGCAATCTCTGCCTCCTGAGTTCACGCCATTCTCCTGCTTCAGCCTCTCAAGTAGCTGGGACTACAGGTGTCTGCTACCAAGCCCGGCTAATTTTTTGTGTTTTTGTTGTGTCTCTGCCTGTTTTGGTGTCAAGATCATGCTGTCCTCATAGAATGAGTTGGGGAGAAGACCCTCCTTCTCAATTTTTGGGTATAGTTTCTGTAGGAATTGTACCAGCTCTTCTTTGTACATTTGGTAGAATTTGGCTGTAAGTCCATAAAGTCCAGAGCTTTTTTTTTTTGATTGGCAAGCTACTTATTACCTATTTAATATCAGAGTTTTTTACTGGTCTGTTCAGGAAATCATTGTCTTCCTGGCTTAATCTTGAGAGAGTGTGTATATCTAGGAATCTATTTATTTCGTTAAAGTTTTCTAGTTTGTGTGTATAAAGTTGTTCATGTTAGTGCTGTCCCCAGTTAAATAAAAACAACTATTAGAAACCACTAAAGTTTAACACTTGTTTTTATATCTTTAATCAATTTTTATTTAATTTTTCTACTTGGAATGTGATAAAGATTCAACTTTACTGGTTTAAATGTGGACTTGTTTTCCCAGCATTTCTTGTGTAACAAACTGTCTTTACATAATGATTAAGGCACACTTTTAAAAAGACAAACAATAATTTATGAAAGGGTTTTTTGGAGTATCTATTTTATTTATTTGATCTCCACAATTGTTCTTATGCCACTATCAAACTGTTATAATTTTAGTAGCTTTTTATGTTTTCAAATTTAAAATTGTGAGCCACCTAATTTTGTCCTTCTTTTCAAGATTATTCTGTACATTCAGAGGATGTTCAAATTCCATATGAAGTTTTAAATGAGCTATTTTCTTTTTGCAGAAGAAAAGTTGGAAAAATGAAAACTTGGGATTACAGTACATCTGTACACTCCTTTGGGCAGTGGTATTGTCATCTTAACTTCATTAAATCTTCCGGTTCAGGAACATGGAATTTGTTGCCAGTTATTTAAGTCCTTTTTAGTTTTTTTCATAAACATTCTGATCCTGTATTTTTTATTGTACAAGATATTTACCTCCTTATTAAATTTATTGCTAAGAATTATATTATTTTAATGTTGTTGCGAACAATTGTTTTCTTAATTTACTGTCAAATTGTTAATTGTATATGGAAATGCAGTTTATGTTTCTGTGTTGTAAAAATAATTATTTCATGTCTCAAATCTAGATTAGCAATTCATTCAGAATAAATATGCTGTATATATTACTAGTCATTTAACTTTTTCCAATAAGCTAACCAATTTCAATATGTCTAAATATGTAAAAATGTTAAATTGTGTTAGATTTTTCACTTACTCTCACCTGTCATTTATCTGTCAGAATTACATTACTGCGCACTAGAACTTTCATTTCTGGGGCCGGGCACGGAGGCTCATGCCTATATTCCTAGCACTTTGTGAGGCCAAGGCAGGCGGACCACCTGAGATCAGGAGTTCGAGACCTGTCTGGCCAATATGGTAAAACCCCGCCTCTACTAAAAATACAAAAATAAGCTGAGCGTGGTCTTGGGAGACTGTATTCCCAGCTACTTTGGAGGCTGACACTGGAGAATCACTTGAACAATCCCACAACACAAAACAACCGAGGTTAGTCTTCATGTCGAAAGTCTTCAATGGATTGTCTTTTATCACAGGATTGCTTAGTGCAACATTTAATGGGAAAGATGCATGCTACTGAGATGTAGTTCTCCACAAGTCTCTTAGAGTTTGTTGTTTTGTTGTGGATTACATCACATACCTGTCCTGTTCCACGTTATTTTTCAAAGATTTTTGTACACAAATAACCTGGAAAAAGGGTAGTAGTTTTTCTCTTCAGGTGAATGGCAGATAAATTACTCAATCAATATAATAAAGACAATTTTTCTTTGTGACGCAAAGGTTGGACAGGCTTCCATGTAACCTACTTTAAAAAGATTGAGGTTTCTTAGTCTTGAGTCTGCTCAGCTATGACACAAATCTTCCCCATGTACAATGTCCATATGAGCCTTTTGAAATCCTTCAAAAAACGTAGTATGGACAAGGAGAACTAATACAAATATGAGGCTTTTGCCTCCAGGTAAGCAGTAAATAGTAGGTATTTTTTTTCATACTTCAGTGTCTCATGCCTTCTACCAGCATCGATGAAAATGGAAGGTTAATATGTTGTTTACAAATGCTATAAAATCTTAGATACGTCACAATTATTTAATTTTGGAGATGACTATGGCATGCTGAGATAAACACAACTTTCTGAAAGGGGAAAAGGAACAAATACTTGAAGAGCTTGCAAGGGATATGAGAAGTTCCCCCAGGACCAACAGCAAATTCTCTCGGCCAAGTGGTTAGTTTGGTGAAGCAAGAGATCAAGACTCTGCTGTCTGCTAATGAGACTGATCCTTGAGAGGATTATAACAATGAACCTGAGAGCTTTGCATGTTCACTTTTCTCCTGCTGGAAAATCAAGGAGCTCTTAAAGCTAATGTTGAGGTTTGGATGAGTCCAAAACACTAGAAGTTCATGTGGTTCAGCTGTGAGCAGCAAAAAGACTGCAAAAAGCCACATTAAGCAGGTTTTGTAAGTCTCTCTCCTTTACCCACATGAAGGAACCCATTCCCTCTGCACTTCTAATTTTTGTCCTTTGTCTACAGCTAACTTCAGCAACTTTAAATATTAAACTACATACGATTGGAGGTTTGGATGGGGGAACACAAATGTATGTAGTTCCTTTGGATACATGTATCTAATTCACCATTCTGTGGAGTCCCTTAGGGTGCACAGGGAGATATAGGTGTTAGGGTGGCTGGAAATGCTGACAAACCTATCATTCTATTAATCCAGTTGCTTCCAGATAATGGAAAGCATGGTAAGTCCACTGACATCCGTGAAGATGAGCACACTGCTACACTTTGGCTGTGAAGTGAGTTTCTTGGTCTGAGCAATGCTAAGTGGAATATCATAGGGATGGATGAGGGATTCTGTGAGTCCATGGAGGGTAGTTTTGGCAGAATTCCACCCAGGGAAAGCAAATTTGTATCCATAGTAAGAGCCTACTCCAGTGAGTACAAACTGTTGCCGCCTATATTATAAAAGTTATTCAACGTAATAAATTTACTACCAGGTGCCTGGTGGATCACCCTGGAAATGATGTCATATCAAAGACTCAGTGTAGATCTGTGCTGCTGTCAAATTAAACATTCAGAATTGACTGTAGCCAGACTGGCCTTTGGGATTCAAAGTTCATATTGCTTAGCCCGTGCATTGCTTCTATTTCTGCTACTATGTTCACCTTGTTTATAAGCCCATTGGGTGATGATGGGGGTGACAGGGAAGTAAGAATGACCCATACTCACGGAACAAGACATTCTGTCCACATCATTATCAAAATCATGCTCTGATACGGTTACCCCTTAGTAGGGATTCATATAGAACAGACATATCTTTATGTAATTTACCCAGTGAGAGAAGTTTATCCACAAAAGTTTTTCTATTTTTTTTTTTTTGCCAGGAATTTTGTAATCATGTTCCTTCCGTGTCATTGGTCATGTAGCCAATTCATGGGCCACAGCAGTGTTGCAGGAGTGAGTATCATAGGATCTCAAACTCCTGTTCTTAAGCAATCCTTGCCTCAACCTCTTAAGTAGCTGAGACTATAGGTGCACCCCACAACGCCTAGCTAATTTTGTTTTATTTTTAGTAGAGATTAGATTTTGCTATGTTTTCCAGGCTGTTCTCACACTCCCCACCTCAAGCGATTCTCCCAGCTTTGCCTGCAAAGTGCTTTGACTAGAGTCAAACCTCCACACCCAGCACCTATAATTTGATATTTTAAACAATACTAGGTAGCGAAAGCAATTACGAAGTTATCTAGGGAAAGAAAGCTCACTATCACAGTGTAAAATTGTATAGATATGATGCGGGCATGTGTGTATACATGCTTGCTTGTGTGCATAGGTGCGTGTTTTCTGAGAAATGGTACCTTATTGCTACCAGGCTAGGATAGCATTCATGTTCTTCTGAAGATGTCAAATATTGAAGCTCCAGGATTCATAGAACAAGATTCCTAAGTGGTTCACGAGAGGGTGAACGATTGAGTAATGGGTATTTTGGAAGAAACAACTGGCCTAGGGACAAGAATAAGTGTGCAAATCATCTGTGTGAAACACGCTTTCTTCGGAGCACGCATTTCATGCACTTCATTCTACTGTGACAGATATTGCTACTCTGAGTTTGGGAGAGATTGAACCTAGGGTCTACTGTGAAACTCTGTAGACTAGACTTCTGTCTGAGGCAGCCCCTGCCTGTAACCGTAACCTGCGCCAAACTCCAATGGAGCATTCTTCTCAATGGATAAATGGAAATTCCGGATGATCCGATGGGCAGAGAGTGCGACTGTTTTTTTCAGGAGCTCTGGTTGAATGGTTTTGGGGACTTTCTGGGAGGATGCTCTGCACCCAGAAAAGTAGTCCAACGGGAATCATGAGAAAATGGGCGACTCCGTGTGCCTCCGTCCCCTCCTACTTCCTCACCCACCCCTCCATCAGGGATCCCACGTATTCCAGGATGACACGTGTTTTAGTTGTCTTTGGGCGACAACTAGCGGCAACCGTTACTGAAAATGTAAGCTGTAGAGAACAAAAAAACTCTGGTCGCCTGTTCACAGCTCACTCACTGCAACGTTGAATCCTGGGCTTAAGCAATCCTCCTGCCTCAGCTTCCTGAGTAGCTGGAAATATAGGCATGTGCCACAATGCTGGGCAATATTTTTAAGTAGTGGTAATCTCTCTCGATGTGTTGCCCAGGTTAGTCTCAAACTCCTGTCCTCTATCCAGCCTCCCACCTTGGTCTTCAGAAGTCCTGGGATTACAGGCTTGAGCCACTGTGCTCACTCCTATAATTTGATGTTTTCAACAATACTATGTAGTGAAATGCATCACGAAGACATTTTGCAAAAGAAAGCTCACTATCACATATAAAGTTGTATACTTGTCATGTGCTCACGTGAGCGCATGTTCTTGCCTGTCTGAATGTTTTCTGAGAACTGATCATCTTTTCCCCAGGGACACTGGTTGAAGAGCTGCGGGGATTGTCTGGGAGGGTGTCTCGGGCCCGGAAACGTAATCCAGGAGAGATCAGAAGACCGGCGACCCCATGGGCCTCCATCTCTTTCTCCTTCCTTGACAACCCCTAAACCAGTGACCCCACTCATTCCAGGCTGGAACGTCGTTCGGTTGTCATTTGGCGTCACCTAGCGGTCACTGTTATTGAAAATGGAGGCATCACACCAAAACTTCTGGCCGCCCGCGCACAGCCAGGGAAAACTGGTTTCTCTCGGGCCCCACCCTGACCTCAGATGCACTCCTTCTGTCCCTCCCCCAATGCCTTGTTGCCTAGGAAACCTCCACCCTGGCTGGGAATGCTTATTTCTTTATTTATTTAGAGACAGAGACAGTTTCGCTCTTGTAGCCCAGGTTGAAGTTCAATGGCGCCATCTCGGCTCACTGCAACCTCTGCCTCCTGGATTCAAGCGATTCTCCTGCCTCAGCCTCCCCACTAGCTGGTATTACATGTGCCTGCCTCTACTCCCAGCAAATTTTTGTATTTTTAGTAGGGACGTCATTTCGCCATGTTGGCCAGTCTGTTCTCGAAGTCCTGACTTCAGATGATCCACCCACCTCAGCCTCTTAAAGTGCTGAGTTTACAGAAATAAGCCAGGGCGCCTAGGCTATCATTTGTTTTTCTTTCTTCCTTTTTTTTTTTTTTTTTTTTTTTAGTAAGCATGAACAGTTCTACCTGGGTTTTAAAAATTGTGTGTGTGAAAGAAAAATAAATCTTGAGGCTTCCAAATCACTAAAGTAAAGGGAAAAGTCAAGCTGGCAACTGTTTAGGGCCAACCTGCCATTCTATTCAAAGTCACTCCTCTGCTCTTTTCTCTTTTTTTTTTTCTTTTTTGAGATGGAGTCTCGCTCAGATGCTCAAGCTGGAGCCCAGTGGAGCAATCTCGGCTCACTGCAACATTCGCCTCCTGGTTTCAAGCGATAAATGTATATTTGATTGCCTCCTTTGGAGAGGCTAATTAGAAACTCCAAAGAATGCAACCATTTGTCTCTTAACTACCTTTGACCAGGAAGTCCCCTCCTCACTTTCAGTCTTCCCGCGTTTGCTAATTTGTCCCGCCTTTGCAGACCGAACCAATGTTCATCTTGCATACTTTGATTGATGTCTCATGTCTCCCTAGAATGTATAAAACGATAATGTTCTCTGTTTACCTTAGGCACATGTCCTCAGAACCTCCTGAGGCTGTCACGGGTATGCGTCCTGAACCTTGGTTACGTAAACTTTCTAAATTAACTGAGACCTCTCTCAAGTTTTCAGGGTTCACAACGGAAAGTGCATTGTAGCTCCACCCTAGGGCTTATCATTAAGAAAAACTATCCTATATCTCTGCAGATACAGTCAAACCGGTTGTATGTAAACTGTATGAAACTAAATGCACTTATTACAAGTAAATGAATAAATGCTGAGAAAAAAAATCATGAACCGCTCACCTTTCAAAGAAGCAATAATACTATGAATTATGTGTAATTTCCAGAGTCAGCTAGTTTCAAAATTGTCCCCACTAAACTTGGAAAGGTTCCAGAGTGAGCTATTGTGCCTCCAGCCTTTGCTCCTCCCCCTTCTTTCCCCTGCGCCCTCCCCTCAACCTTTGCCGGCAATCACATTCTCTGATTCTGCAAAAGCAGGTGGGAGCCCTAGAGAGAGTTCTCGTTTTTTTTTTTTTTTTTTTTTTTCTTTTTTGAGATGGAGTCTCGCTTAGAGGCTCAGGATGGAGCCCAATGGAGCAATCTCGGCTCACTGCAACATCCGCTTCCTGGTTTCAGGCGATTCTACTGCCTCAGCCTACCGAGGAGCTGGGTTAACAGGCACCCGTTATTATGCCCAGCTAATTTTTGTATTTTCATAGAGACAGGGTTTAACCATGTTGGCCACGCTGGACTCGAACTCCTGCCATCAGGTGATCTGTCAGCCTCAGCCTTTCAATGTGCCGAGATTACAGGCGTGAGCCACTGTGGCCAGCGAGTTCTCTTTTCTTTGTGAAGGGCAAGGCAAAGTGGAATGGATTAATCTAAAAGCGGAGTGCATGCCCTGGAAAACATCATGGTTAGACCCATGTGAGACAGGTTAGTTTTACTGCGTGTGTTCTCCATGTGTTGTTGCCCATGTGTTGCTACCATGGTAATCCTGCTGAGTATGAGAGGAATCAAAGTTTCACACATTTGGTGTATGTGCTTGACTGAGGAACCAATGGGGTGAAGCTACCATCTGTGGGATTATGACTGAACGCCTCTAAATCAGAATCCCGCCCAGAAGAAAGGATGCAGCAGCGCTGGCAAGACTCGGTTGGCCTCAGATAGCCAGTCCCCAGCCTTTGCCACCGGCCGGACGCTCCGCCCCGCTGTGCGCCAAGACCTTGCTCCGGTCTTATCATCCTAAAAAACGGGGTGCGGCCCCCCATCCTAAAAAACGGGGTGCGGCCAGAAAGGCGTTTGCTCCCTGGCCCGTCACATAACATGCTCATGGGGAATCTGATACTAAACTATTGGTAAACGCCCTGCTTCTGGGTCAGGGTTTCCTATGGAGCAGAGCAACTCCCTCACTGCAACCTATTGAAAGTCAGCCCTCCACACAAGGGGCTCTCAACCAGTGTGCGGGAAAGCTAGCGTTGTGGCGTGTCCTGTATAATTCAGCCCTGGACCTCTACCTTCCTTCTTCCCTCCTTTTGCCCCCGGGGACTTAGTTCCCGGGCCTGCTCAGGCCCCCCGCCCCGGAGCCCCAGGGCATGCAGGGCTGTCTCTCGCGAGATAACATTGGCGTCGGCCGTGCATTTGGGAGGGGTCGTTCCCCAACAGCAGGCTTTCCAAGATGCAGCGCTGGGGGTTGCGAGGTAGGGTTGGCGCCCCTGCTCGATGTTCCACCTCTCTGATTGAGCTTCTTTCTCCCATCCCGCTGGGAATTCCTCCACGAGTTGGGACCGGATTCTTCGAGCCTCGTGCGAATGGCTGAGGCGCGGGTGTCAGAGGTTTTGCCCCTGCAGTCCCTGCCTGAGTAGTGTTCGCGCGATGCCCGTGGGTGGCTGTTGGGGTCACAGTCCCTCTCCCCGCCTCAGGGGTGCTGGGATGAAAGACTAGCTAGTCACTACCCTTGTGTCTTTACTCCTCTTCTCTGTCCGGGTCAACCAGCGGACTGCGGGGAAATGGCTGGCAGGTCTGCCAAGTTAGACGGCCTCAAACCTGGGCCGGTTCTGTGTGATAAGGTTCCAACTGCGTCTGATCGCTTCCCTCCGCGAGCACCACATTTGGTCTTTAGGGTGGACCCTGTCGATTAGATGCTGGCGTTTGGCTTCCCGATCAGCCCGCGAATCAGCCGACTGCGGGAAGCAAGCAACATCCAGTTGACACGGCCGCGGGCTTCTCTGTCTGGAAGACCTGGGACCAGGGCCTAAGGCCCCAGTCCTCAGGTCTCTGGTCGCCGTGCCCACCTGATGTCCGCGGCAAGCGTTGGACTTGACCGTCAACTTGGGATTTCTAAGGTAGACCAGATAACTTTGGTCAGCAGCAGTACCGCCCGCATTCACTAGGTGTCGCTTTTTCCTTGCGTTGTTTCTTCCTCTCCAACTGTTTCCACAGTACTTTCAGTTTCTCTTCGTTTTGTTTTTCTTTTATTTTTCTTGCTCCTCTTTCTACACACTGAAGTTGCTGTTGTTTTACATTTACCTTTTATTTATTTGTAGTTTTTGAGGCAGGTTGGAGTGTAAGAATGCAATCTCGGCTTACAGCCGCCTCGACTTTCCAGGACTCCCTCAGGTGATCTTCCTATCTCAGCCTTCCAAGTGGCTGAGACTACAGGAATCACTTAATTCTGTGATGTCGAAGCTGAAGTGAGCCGTGATGATGCCTTGCCCTCCAGTCTGAGTGTTTCAGAAGGTAAGAGAGACAGGTTAAAGAAAAAAATTCCTTGAAATAAACTGCAATTAATTGTGATCTAAATTACCTTTTATAGTTTTTCACTCCCACGAGTTTGTTTATTATTATTGCTGCTTATTATTTCTTTGTATTATTGTTTGTCATTATTGTTATTGTTTTTATTATTTATGTAATTATTTAGAGATGGAGTCTTCCTCTATCACCCAGAGTGCAGTGCAGTGGCGCGACTTTGGGTCACTGCAGCTTCAAATGCCTGGGTTCAAATTCGCAATATGGCGAAACACCCTGTTTACTAAAATCTGTCAATGACACCTTCAGGACCGTTGGTTGTGGCGGCTGCAATTTCGGAGGCTGAGGAGGGCAGTTCGCTAGAGCTCGGGAGTTCAAGACAGCCTCGGAAACAGACTGCAGAGCATTTGTCTGACCAAGACCCGCTGCAGCCTCCACCTCCCGACCCCAAGCGATGTTCTCAACTCAGGCTCCAAAGGATCTGGGACCACAGGCGCCTGCCATCACAATGCCCGGATTTTTTTCTTTTCTTTTCTTTTTCAGTAGAGACGGGGTCTCACTGTGTTGCCAGGGCTGGTCTCAAAGTCCTAGGCTCTAGCAATTCTTCCAACTCAGCCTCCCAAAGTGCTGGGATTATAGGTGTGAGCCACAATGCCCTGCCCTCTTTTTTATTTCCTTCATTTTTTCTCTTTTTTTCTTTCTCTTTCTTTCTGTCTTTTCTTTTTCTTCTCTCTTTTTCTTCCTCCCTTTTTTCTCTCATTTCTCATTCTTTTTTTTTCTGTTTCTATGTCTTTTGGTTTTCTTTTTCATCTTTCTTCCCTTTACATCTCTGTCTGTCTATTTTCTTTTTCTTGATCTTCCTTACTCTCTCTTTTCTTCATTTCTTTCTTTCCATCCCTCTGTCTGTCTGTCTTTGTGTGGATTTTGGAAAATTCTCCTTATTCTGTATCTCCCTGTGTATCACAAGCCTCTGTGACTTTCACTTTGTTGTTTTTCCTCCTTGTCGCGTAAAAGGCATTCACTGCTCTTTTATTTTGATGCTCTGTGGATGTTCGAAGGGTGGGGAAAAAGTGGTCCACGAATCTGATTGGTTTCATGAGAGACACGAGAGACAAAAGAACATATGATGATTACTTCGCTAAATGCCCTGTTTATTCTTTCAACTGCACTCATACAAGTAAGGACGCAGTTGGTGGGTTGAGAGATCTCTGTGTAGTCATGACTCTGCAATTATACTTGACGAGAGCGGTGATGATGAACGGGCGGCATGGAAACCTGCCCTTCTTTGGTGTCAGTTGAGCACAGTGAGAAGAGATTCACAATGGCCTGTATCTCAACCTGATGGTACTGTGTTTCTGCTCTGATCTTTAGGAATGAGAGAAGCATTCCCGTGCATTCCTGCAACGTCCTTGAAGTTTTCTTTTTAAACTTTTCGATTAACTAACGTATTTATTAATTTATTTGAGATGGAGTCTTGTTCTGTTGGTCAGGCCATGGCGCAGTATCGGGCCACTGCAACCTCCGCCTCCCAGGTTCCAGCGATTCTCTTGCCTTAGCCTCTCGAGTAGCTGGGATAACAGGCACGTGCCACCATACCCAGCTAACTTTTACCTTTTTAGTAAAGACAGGGTTTTCCCATGTTGCCCAGGCTGGTCTTGAACTCCGACTTCCAGGAATCCTGTGGCCTCGTCCTCCCAAAGTGCTGGGAGATCCCAGGTCATCAGACTCGAGAAAGAATGTTGGTTGATATAGAAAGGCGAGACACACTGCGCCCGACCCAAATTGCTATTTTTAAAAATAAACCAGTAGGCTGGGTGCAGTGGGTCACTCCTCTCATCTCAGCAGTTTGCTAGGCGGATGTGGGAGGATTACGAGGTCAGGAGTTTGAGACCAGCCTGGCCAACATAGTCAAACTCTGTCTGTATGAAGAATACAAAAATTAACCAGGTGTGGTGTCACGCACCTCTACTCCCAGCTACTCTATATGCTGAGGTAGTAGAATCTGTTGAAGCCGGGAGATGGAGATTGCAGTCAGCCCAGATCATGCCACTGGACTCCAGCTTGGGTGACAGAGTCAGATTCCATCTAAAAAAAAAAAAAGTAATTAAAAATAAGTGAGTTTCCAAGAAGAAATAGAAACCCGCAGTGACACAAACATATGCATCTCACCTTTCGAGGCAGCAATGACACTACAAACTTGTAAACTCAGTTCATTTCTTGACTGCGGACCATGGGTATTTGTGATGCTTCCTCTTGGAACATAGTTCTGTGTGACACCATACCCAGCTAACATTTGCCTTTTTAGTAGTCAGAATTTTGCTATATTGCCCAGACTGCTCTTGAACTCATGAACTCCAGGTATCCGCCCGCCCAAAAAAAAGAGTTGTGATGAAAGGAGACACACAGATAGATTTCAGCCCTTAAAATGGTGCATGCTGCCACATTTCACAGATCTTCCCTGGGCCTTACTGGTATTTGCCCAACATAGAAATGCTTTCTAAAAAGTGACAATTTGCTTACATAATATTTCCACAAGCGATGCCTTGGTCTGTGTTTGTTTTTACGTTTTGTTTTGTTTGTAGTTTTTACTTTACTTATCTCTTTTCAGTTGAAGTAGATTTTACCAATTTTAGGAAGATGTGTATTTTCCCGAAAACCTGTTAGCTGGTGTTTTCTTCGGTCATTAAGTAGCGATTTTCGGAATCTCTCAAGGTACAGTGAGAGCCGATTGATATAAACTATACTTCATAAAATCTTCTTTCCTTTTCATTTTTTTTTTTTTTTTTTGTCTTTCAGGTGGAGTTTCGCTCTTATTGCCCAGGCTGGAGTTCAGTGGCGCGACCTCAGCTCACCGCAACCTCTGTCGCCTGTGTTCAAGAGATTTTCCAGTCTTCACCCTTTCGAGTAGCTGAAACCACAGGCAAACACCTCCAGGCCTGGCTAATTTTTTTTTTTTTTCATAGAGACTAGGTAGCTCCATAATGGTCAGGCTGGTCTAGAACACCCAACCTGAGGCGTACCACCCAACTTGACCACCCAAAGTGCTGAGATTAAAGGCGTGAGCTCCGCGTCTGGCCATAACATCTTATCCTATAGAAGCCCAGAGAGGTTAGGTATGTAGTCCCTGAGACCAGCCTTCCTTGGATGAACTCCAAAGTGATGGCTGAGGATTAGGGAGTGTGGGGGGGGGCTGGAAAGTCGGTCCCCTATTGTTGCTACCTAGGCCATGACATCCCCAGACTCCCATCGCCTGCTCACCGTTTGAGATTCCCCCCACCACCGCCTTGGTGGCTGAACTCTTACTTTAATTTCTGTCTTTCTTCGTTTGTTGGGTTTCAGGAGGGGGTGCAGGAAAGACGGTGTGCGTGGGGAGGGGGTGTAGGGTGGGGATGGAGGGGAGCTTCCTAAGGGTCGATGTAGTGTCATGCCTCTTTCATCACCACCACCGAAGATGAAACAATAATCATCTAAATACCGCGTGTTCTCACACAAAAGTGGGAACTACATAATGAGAATGCATGCGAAGAACTAGGGGGACGAGAGACGCAGGAGCCTACCTGAGGGAGGACGTGTGGAAGGACAGACAGCTTCAGGACAAAGCAAAACGAGCAGAACACAAAAACTGTAGGGGACTGCGCTGAGAATCCGGGTGAGGAAATCATCGGCACACTGAACACCCTACTCAGAAGTTTACCTATGAAACAATCTTGCACATGTATGCTTCAAAAACAAATAACAGTTAGGGAAGAAAGAGAGAGAGAGAGAAAGAGAGAGAGACAAGTAAAATAAAGCACCACCTCCTTGACCTGACTCAGGGCGTTTGGGGTCTTCTGGGGAAATGTTCTGAAACAATGGAGTATTTTGGTCTGTTCTTTCTTGTGTCTTTTTTTTTTTTTTTAAGACGGACTCTCGCTCAGCCACCCAGGCTGGAATGCAGTGGTGCACTGGGTTCACTGCAGCAAATATCTCCCGGGTTGAAGCGATTCTCCAGTCTCATCCTCCTGAGTGGCCGGGATTACAGTCACGCGCCATAATGCCCTGCTTATTTTTGAACATTAGTAGAGAAGGGGTATTGCCATGCTTGCGACGCTGGACTTGAAGGC